>NC_000023.11:79432238-79735269 GCF_000001405.40 Homo sapiens
ATGTTGTTGCAAACAGTGATTACTTCTTTTGAAAGGCTGAATAATATTTTCACTTACATATATCTAACATGTTGTACTTGTTCATATGTCTATGGCCACTTGACTCAGTATAGAAATCTTAAAAATATCTTTTAAATTTATTCTTAAGTATTTTTGATGCAATGGTAAATGATATTATTCTTTAAATTTTACTTCCTAATTGTTTTCTACTGACACATAGACATAAAATTTATTATTGTACATTGATATTGTATCCAGTTATCTGGCAAATTTATTTATTAATTTATTATTTACTTGTTTGTTTGTTTGTTTGTTTAGCGATGGAGTCTTGCTCTGTCACCCAGGCTGGAGTGCAGTAGCATGATCTCGGTTCACTGCAACCTCCATCCCCCAGGTTCAAGCGATTTTCCTGCCTCAGCCTCCCAAGTAGCTGGAATTACAGGCACCTGCCACCATGCCCAGCTAAATTTTGTAATTTTAGTACAGATGAGGTTTCACCATGTTGGCCAAGCTGGTCTAGAACTCCTGACCTCAAGTGATCTGCCCGCCTCGACCTCCCAAAGTCCTGGGATTACAGGTGTAAGCAAGCCACCACACCCAGCCTAAATTTATTAATTTAATAGTTTGTTATGAGTTATTTTGTTTGGTCATGTACAAAAACATGACATATGTGAACAAAGCCAGTTTTAATACTTCTAATCCTAATATATCTTTTTTTCTTGCTGTATTGCACTGGCACAATTATTTAGTAAAATATTAAATAGAAATGTTGATAGTGGGCATTGTTGTTCTCAAACTCAGTGTTCCAGATTGCATTATTTAATATGATACTTGTTCTAGGTTTTATGTAAATATACATCATCAAATTGTGGAAATGTAGTTTTGTTTTCTGATACTTTTTTTTTTTTTTTTTTGAGACAGAGTCTGGCTCTGTTGCCCAGGCTGGAGTGCAGTGGCACAATCTCGGCTCACTGCAAGCTCTGCCTCCCAGGTTCATGCCATTCTCCTGCCTCAGCCTCCCGAGTAGCTGGGACTACAGGCGCCCACCACCACACCCAGCTAATTTTTTTGTATTTTTAGTAGAGACGGGGTTTCACCATGTTAGCCAGGATGGCCTCAATCTCCTGACCTCGTGATCCACCCGCCTCGGCCTCCCAAAGTGCTGGGATTACAGGCGTGAGCCACTGCACCCGGCCTAGTTTTCTGAGACTTTTTATCTGGCATGACAATTAAATCGTATCATCTATTTTTATGTATCTATTAGATGCTTGTATTTTTATGATTCATTATTGTATTTGGTTCATAAATGACTGTTTTTTAATGTAAAACCAACCTTGTGTTCATGGCATCAAGTTCACTTGGTCATATTTTGTCTTGTTATATATGATTGGATTTGATATGATAATTTTCTTTGGGATTACTGCATCTTTGGGTAGTAGAGATATTGCCCTGTTATTTTCACCTCTTGTGATACTTTTGCCAGTTTTTGGTGTCAAGGTTGTATTGGCCTCATAAAATTAAGGCAGGAAGTGTTCTGTTGTTATTCTGGTAGAGGTTTTGTAAGGTTTGTAGAGTTCACCAGTGAAGCTACTTATATAGAGGGTTTTTTTTATTACTTTTTATCAGTTGTTTTATTTTTGCTGTGGGTTTTTTATATATAAATTCTTTAATAAATAAAAGACTATTAACATTTTCTAGCGCTTCCTGTATGTGTGTTGGGAGGTTAGATCTCTTGAGGAATTACTTATTTCATCTAAATTTCTAAATTTATTTTCAGAAAGTTGTTCATAATATCTTATTATTATCTTTATAATCTCTTTAGGATGCTTAATAATATCTGATAATCTTTTAAATTTTTAGTGTTGGTAATTTGTGTTTTTTCTTCCTTTTTTGATTAGTTTTTTTAGAGTTTAATGAATTATATTAACTTTTTGAAAAAATATTTTGACATTGTTAATTTTCTGTGGTTTACATCTTCTTTTAATTTTACTGATTTCTCTCTTTTCTTAATTACTTACTTTCTTTTACTTTCTTTGTGTTCCATTTGTCTTCAATTTCTAATTTGCTGAAATGGAAGCTTAGGTTATATTAATGTTCAAAGGTTTGTTTTTTCTGCAGCATGCATTTACGCTCAACACATCTCTTTCAACACCAATTCAGTGCATCCAACAAGGTTTAGTATCTTTATTTTTATTTTGATAAAAAAAATGTAGCTTAAAATGTGACTTTCTTTTTCACAATATTTTGAATGTTTTTCTTCATTTTCAAATATTTGGGAAATTTCTTGTTATTGTGCTGTTATTAATGTTCCATTATTATTGCCACCATAGTTAGAAAAGATATTCAGTATAACTTAATGTTTTGAAATTTATCGAGATATGCTTCTGATTCAGAAAGTGTCCTATTTTAAACAACTTACCCAAATATCTGGGATGTAGTTAATGCAGTCTTAGGAGAAATGTTTATAGCACTAAATGCCTGCATTAGAAAGATTAGAAATACTTCAAATTAACAACCTAACTTTGTACCTAAAAGAACCAGAAAAAAAGAGCAAGTCAATGCAAAAAACTAGCAGAAGAAAATAAGTAACTAAAATTAGAGAAGAACTGAATAAAATTTAGATGCAAAATCCATTTAAAAATCAATAAAATCAGGAGTTGGTTTTTCAAAAGCATAGACACAATTGATAGACCACTAGCTAGTTTAACAAGAAAAAAAGATCCAAATAAGTACAATCAGAAATGACAAAGATGACATTACAATTGATCCCACAGAAATACAAAAGACCCTTTAAAAGGTCTATAAAAGACCTTATTAACAGCTCAATATGCACAAATTAGAAAATCTAGAGGAAAAGGGTAAATTCCTGAAAACACATAATCCCCCAAGATTGAATCAGAGACATTGAAACCCTGAATAGACCAATATAGAGTCATGAAATGAAACAGTAACAAAAACCCTTATAATTCAATAAAAACTCTGGACCAGATTGATTCACATCCAAATTCTACCAGACATATAAAGAAGAGCTAATAACAATGTTACTGAAACTATTCCAAAAATTGAAGAGGGAGACTCCTCTCTCACTCATTCTATAAAGCCAGCATGAGCCTGATACCAAAATCTGGCAGAGACACAACATAAAACAAACAAACAAACAAACAAATTCAGGCCAATAACCCCAATAAACATAGATGCAAAAAATCCTCAAAACAATACTAGCAAACTATTCTCAGCAGCACATCAAAAAGTTAATTCACCGTGATCAAATAGGCTTTATTTCTGGGATGCAAGCTTGGTTTGACTTATGCAAATCAATAAATATGATTCATCACGTAAACAGAATAAAAACAAAAACCATACAATCATATCCATAGACATAAAAAAAGCTTTCAATAAAATCTGACATCCCTTCATAATCATAATCCTGAACAGACTAAGCATTGAAGAAACATATCTCTAAATATGAAAATTCATTCATGGCAAACCCACAGCCAACATCGTACTGAATGGACAAAAGCTGGAAATGGTTCCCTTGAGAACTGGAAGAACCCAAGGATGTCCAATTTCACCTCCTATTCAACATAGTACTGGAATTCCTATACAGAGCAGTCACGCAAGATAAAAAAATAAAAGGCATCTAAATAAAAGAAGTCAAGCTATCTCTCTTTGCTGACAATATTATTTCACTTAGAAAACCCTAAAGACTCTGTGAAATGGCTCCTAGAACTGATAAATTCACTGAAGTTTCAGGATACAAAGTCGATGTACAAAACTTAGTAGTATTCATACATCCCAACAGCATCCTAGGTGAGAGTCAAATCAAAAACACAATCCCATTTTCAATAGCTACAAAGAAAATGAATTACCTAGGAATACAGCTAAACAAGAAGGTGAAGGATTTCTACAAGGTAATCTACAAAACACTGCTGAAAGAAATCAGAGATGACACAAATGAGAAAACATTCTGTGTTCATGGATTGGAAGAATCAATATCATAAAAATAGCTATACTGTCCAAAGCAATTTACAGATTCAACAATAGCCTTATCAAACTATCAATGTCATTCTTAACAGAGCTAAACAAAAACTCTAATATTCATGTGGAAAAAAGAGCACAAATAGCCAAAGCAATCCTGAGCTTAAAAAACAAAGCTGGAGGTGTCACACTACCCAACTTCAAACTATACCATAAAGCTATAGTAACCAAAACAGCATTGTGCTACTACAAAAAACAGACACATAGACTAATAGAACAGAACAGAAATCTCAGAAATAAAGCTCCACACCTACAACTATCTGATCTTCAGCAAGGCTGACCAAAACAAGCAACAGGGAAAGGACTCCCTATTCTATAAATGGTACTGGGATAACTGACTAGCAAAGATTAAAACTGAACCCTTACTTTTCACCATATATAAAAATTAACTCAAGAAGGATTAAAGATTTAAATTTAATACCTAAAACTATAAAAATCCTGGAAGTAAACCTAGGAAGTACCCTTATTGACATCAGCCTTGACAAATAATTTTTGATCGAGTTCCCAAAAGCAATTTAAACAAAAACACAAATTGACAAGTGGGACATAATTAAACTAAAGAGCTTCTGCATAGCAAAAGAAACTATCAACAGAGTAAACAGACATCCTACACAATGAGAGAAAATATTCACAATCTATGCATCTCACAATGGTCTAATATCCAGAATCTATAAAGAACTTAAATAAGCAAGCAAGATCAAATAACCCAATTAAAAATGGGCAAAGAACACGAACAGATAATTCTCAAAAGAATACATACAAGTGGCCAACAAACAAAAAATGATCATCATCACTAATCATCAGAGAAATGCAAATTAAAACCACAATGAGATATGATTCTGACACCAGTCAGAACGGGTGTTATTAAAAAGTCATTAAAAAAACAGATGCGGCCAGTTCTGGTGTCTCACGCCTGTAATCCCAGCACTTGGAGAGCCCGAGGCGGGTGGATCACCAGGTCAGGAGATCGAGACCATCCTGGCTAACACGGTGAAACCCCGTCTCTACCAAAAAATACAAAAAATTAGTCTGGTGTGGTGGCAGGCGCCTGTAGTCCCAGCTACTTGGGAGGCTGAGGCAGAAGAATGGCGTGAACCCAGGAGGTGGAGCTTGCAGTGAGCCGAGATGGCGCTACTGCACTCCAGCCTGGGCAACAGAGCGAGGTTCTGTCTCAGAAAAAAAAAAAAAAAATGCTGATGAGGGTGCTGAGAAAAGGGAATGCTTATACGCTGTTGATAGGAATAATAAATTAGTTCAGCCACTGTGGGAAGCAGCTTGGAGATTTCTTAAAGAAGTTAAAACAGAGCTACCATTTCACCCAGTGATATAATTACTGGGTGTATACTCCAAGGAAAATAAATCATTCTGCCTAGAAGACATATGTAGTTGTATGTTCATCGCTGTGCTATTCACAATAGCAGAGAAATGGAATCAACCTAGGTGCCTATCAGTGGTGGATTGGATAAAGAAAATGTGGTACATATACATCGTGGAATACTACGCAGCCATAAAAAATAATTCAATTATGTCCTTTTCAGCAATATGGATGCCGCTGGAAACTGTTATTCTAAGCAAATCAACATAGAAACAGAAAAGCAAATACTGCATGTTCTCACTTATAAGTTGAAACTGTATGTTGAGCACTCATGGATATAAAAATGGGAACAGTAGACATTGTGCACTACCTGAAGGGAGAAGAAGTCTGTGGGGCATGAGGTGAAAAAGTACCTACTGGCTACTATGCTCACTACCTGGGTGATGTGATTATCTGTATCCCAAACCTTAGCATCATGCAATATACCCATGTAACAAACATGCACATGTACCCCCAGTATCTAAAATATAAGTTGACTTGTTTTAAAAAAAGAAAATGTCCATTTTGATGTGTTCTATGTGCACTTGAAAAGAATTTACATTAACAATATTCTATATATGCCAATTATGTCAAATTAATCATATCATTCATCTTTTATTTACCCATACTAACCTGCTTGATCAGAGGGTTTTGTTGAAATCTTCAATACTATTCTAATTTTTGTCCATCTCTATTTTAATTTCTGTCAATGTTTTCTTTATATATTTATTAGTTATGTTGAATGTATAACAAGTTTGGATTTTTATATATTCTTTCAAAAAGACAATTTTATCATTATAAATGTCCCTATTTATCTCTGCAGTAAGTGTAATTCTAAAATGGCCCCTAAGTTTCTTGCTCCCTTGCATACATGCCCTGTATAATCCCCTCCATTATTAAAAATAATTGCAGAAGATTTGAACATATGTATTAATCTCTGTAGGATTTAACTTTCAAGTTCCAACTTACTTGTTCTTAACCTCCACTCATTCTCTTTTCAGCCCAGTAAGACCATTGCCTTGTGCTTAGGTTTTATTCCTTTATATCATGACTTAAAACACTTAAGAGAATAAGCCAAAGTAAATTTACAGCTCTCATTACATGCTTTCCTTTTCTCAAAGATCATAGCTCCTAAGTCATGCCTATGTTGGTTTTTAATGCCTTCAAAGTATAATTTCACGTATTTTTTTCTAGCTCTTATGATTTTTTTCAGTGCTAATTTATCTAATACTCTGACATACCCTCAGATGAAAACTGTTAATGTGTTTCTGTCCCCATTTTTAGATGAGAAAACTGAGGGTCAGAGAATTTAACTGATTAACTCAAAGTTTCCCTGATAGTGATGGAATAAAATTAGATGTTATTTCCCAATATACCACGTTGCCTTTCTTTTTATTGTTGTTATTCTTAGATGTCAGTACCATTCTGAAGTTTTTACATGTTTTGATATAATTTGTTACTTTTTCTTTTTTTGCTTATTGCTCATGACAATTTAAGGATTTGACTATGACCTTAGGATAATCCAAAATGCCTATGTGCTGTGGCCCATAGGTTAATATCAAACACATTGTACTGAAAGCAAGGAGCCAAAATGTTCTCTGAGAAGCTTGTCTTTAAAGGGATGGCAAAATTTTGTTTTCAGGAATCATACTTTAGAGTATTTTATTTCCTTTAACTACGCATGTGCCTCTCAAATTTTAAGCTGCTTTGAGGTATGCTGTTGTTTAATTTGAGCATTATCATAGTATTTGGCCTGTGGTGAAGAAATATATAATTATCTGAACAGCAGAATTTAACATTCATTGGTATTAGTTGCCCTTGTTGAACTAATACAAACATTTATTGAGCACATACTTTAGGTACTCTGGGGGATACAAAGATAAATCTGACATGATCCCTCTCTCAAGAAATTTAAAGTTCAGAATACAAATAGCTCTACTGGAAAGAAAATACGATTCATGACATGAGTTAGGTACAAAGCATACGGGAATTCTGAAAAAGAGATCATATGAGGTTGAAATTTTCAGGCAGAGTTTCAAAAAAGAGAAGAAATTTGATATGGGCCTGGAAGAATAAATCGTACATATAGGTTATGGCTCATTCCCAGTCGAAAACATTTTAGATTATACATATCTTGAGAACCACAGAGTCAGTTACTTACATGGTGATGAGGGAGAAATCTATTAATCAACAGATTAATATTAATTCAGAAAATATGTTGATTTAAATTTAAACTCACAACTCAACTTAGAGATACCGTGAACCACCCAGGTATGACGCACTTTTCAAATTAATTATAGCTCCTATTTAGAAAGAGGGTTATCAATTAGTGCCAGGTACTATTACAGGTGCTTTTCTCATACTACCTTGCTTAAGCCACTCAACAATCCTATAAGGTAGTAATTGTTCTCATTTTACTAATAAAGTCACTATGACACAGTCACATTGAGTAAAACGTGGCTAAGGAAACATTGCTATTAATAAGCTGCTGCTGAGATTTAAGCCCAGGTTTGACTGATTATAGAATCTGAGATCTTAACCAATCTGCTATGCTGTTACTCTAAGGGTAGAGACGGAGGTGTTGATTACCCTCTGACTTATATCTAATTTCTTGTCTTCTTCCTAGACTCTTTTCTTCCCTGACATGCACTGGTACGTCATGACAGTTTTGGATTTACTTTTTTCTTCACTTTGAAAACTTTGTAAAAAGAACTTCCTGTGGCTTGAATTTTATTTCCCAGTCAGATATGCCTGCTTGCTTTATTACTTGCATGACATCGCAACCTTTCTATGCCTCTTGGTTATGATCATACCCTGTCAGTGCTCAAGAGCAGACTGGGATCCAAATTTCCATCAAGACTTACAAAAGGGTATCTCTAAGCCCTTAAGTCAATAGTTTTACCATTTCTGGCAATTGCCCGAGGCAAATTGGAGCCTTTCACTAGCCAGCATTTGTTTGTACTAGTTTCTGGTGCTCTGCTACATTTAATAGCAACTAGTTTCCCAGCTTACTTGGGACAGAATTCACTATGTTTGGGCCAAACGAAATGCGGTTAAATGATGTTTTTCTTTGACTTTCTAATTTATAACTTCGAGAAACAGATTCAGTCATAGATGGCAGGATACATGCTTGAGATACTGACTTATGCCAAACAGGGCCTATCCTAACTGCCAATTAAGATGATGGTGGCAGTGGTGGTGGGAGAGAGGATGGGGGAGAAAAGATGGTGGTGGTGGTAGTGGTGGTGGTAGGGTTGTAAGGGTGATACAAGAACAACAACAAAAAAACCCCACCATTCTTTGTACAACACAATCTCCCTTTAATTATCAGATTGTCTTACAATTATTTGAAATTCATCAGCTTTAATTTACATACAAGATGAGGCCACTATAGTGCAGTACATTGAAATCAGAAACAAATTGCATGTGTGAAGTTAAACAGCACATTTAGCTTTTTAGAGAGACAATTTGAGGAGATTTCTAGGTTGTTCATATGTGACTCAATTTATGAATAATTGACAACTCTCAATAATAATCATTATTATATCCAGTTAACTTCATACAAGAGTAGCTTCTTTGACCCTCTCTCTAGACTAGCCTGACATTAACAGTTCTGTGACATTGTTGTTACACTTGGTGAAACTGCTGATTAAATTTCTGTCCCTTCCCTGATAAGATGAAGACAATCTAGCATTGTACATGAAGGACCTGTATGGTCCTGACTTGTTTCATCTTCTTGCCATTAGGGTGTGCCATTCTTTTCCTGGAGTGGTGAGCACCTTAACCTTTACTCTGACCTATCTTAGAAATCATCTTGTTCCTTCTCATTGTGCTTAGGGATGGCAGGAAGTAGCATTAAAACTTCCTATTTTTTTCTCATACTGCTGTGTTGGTACTTTTTTTTGTAAAGTATCATTTGATTACAGGAAAAAAAGATCTTGTCTTTAACTCTACTTTGCATCTGGGAAATTAAGTTGGCATCTGGACTAAGTAATGCTTACTGAATAAATTAGCAAAGTATATAATACCAATGTTAGATGTCACTCAATTAAACTTCATACCATTAGATATCGGAAAAGCATGACCTAACAATTTTCTGTTGGGATACAAAGGTGTACATATTCATTCAAAAAACATTTATTGAGTAGATTCTATGTACCAGGTTCTATATTGGACACCAGTGACACAATGAATAATCGAACTTGTTCACTGCTTTTTATGTCCAGGAATCAAAAAATGGCATGAACCAACTGTTATATATACATCATGGTAGGCTCAACAAAAAATAATTTTTCAACCGAATGTCGATCTAGTGGACCCAGTCACCAACTTACATGCAATCTTGTATTAATGGACACTGCAGATAGACATATTCCCCATCAGACCCTATGTGGGGTATCATATCAGGTGGCTGACACTGCCCATTAAACAATGTTTGATTTCTCCATGTTTCTCAAAGAGAGAGACACATGATTCCATTATCACCCAAGGAAGCCACATTCTTAATTTATTCTATTATTATGGGGGGTATCCATCACCTTAAGCATGTAGTCTTTGTGTTACAAACAATCCAATTATGTACTCTTAGTTATTTTAAAATGTACAATTAAGTCATTATTGAATACAGTCACCCTGTTGTGCTATCAAATACTAGAATTTATTCTTTCTAACTATGATTTTGTACCCATTAACCATGTCCACTTTCCCCCGCACCCCCACACAATTCTTCACAGTCACTGGTAACCATGCTTCTTCTTTCTTCATGAATTCAATTGCTTTAATTTTTAGCTTCCACAAATAAGTGAGAACATGCAAAGTTTGTCTTTCTGTGCCTGGCTTATTTAAATTAACATAATGACCTCCAGTTCCATGATGTTGTTGCAAATGACAGGATCTCATTTCTTTTTTTATGGCTGAACCATACTCCATTGTGTATATGTGCCCCAATTTTATTTATCCATTCATCTGTTGACAGACATTGGAGTGCTTCTAAATCTTGGCTATTAGGAATAATTCTGCCATAAACATGGGAGTGCAGCTATCTCATTGATATATAGATTTCCTTTCTTTTGAGTATATACCTAACAGGTGGATTGCTGGATTGTATGGTAACCATATTTTTAATTTTTTGAGTAATCTCCAAACTGTTCTCCATAGTGGTTAGATTAATTTACATCCCCACCAAAAGTGTACAGGGTGTCTTTTACTCCACATCCTTGCCAGAGTTTGTTATTGCCTGACCTTTGGATATAGGCCATTTCAACTGGGGCGAGAAGATATCTCTTAGTTTCAGTTTGCATTTGTCTGATGATCAATAACATTGAGCACTTTTTCACATACCTTTTTGCCATTTATATGTCTCTTTTTGAGACATGTCTATTCAGATCTTTTCCCTATTTTAAATTAGATTATTTGATTTTTTTCCTAAAGAGTTGTTTGAGCTCCTTATATATTTTGGTTATTATCTCTTCTCAGATGGATAGTTGCAAATATTTTCTCCCATTCTGCTGGTTGTCTCTTCACTTTCCTTTGTTGTGCAGAAGATTTTTAACTTGATATGATCCCATTTGTCCATTTTTGCTTAGCTTGCCTGCGCCTGGGGTAGTACTCAATAAACCTTTGTCCAGTCCATTGTCATGGAGAGTGTCCTAATCTATTTTAATAGTTTGAGGTGTTAGATTTAAGTCTTTAATTCATTTTAACTTTAGTTTTGAATATGAAAAGACAGTGGGGTCTAGTTTTATTCTTTTGTATATGGATATCCAGTTTTCCCAGCACCATTTATTGAACAGACTGTCTTTTCCCCAATGTATGTTCTTGGCACCTTGTCAAAAGTGAGTTTACTGTAGATGAATAGATTTATCTCTGGGTTCTCTATTCTGTTTCATTGATCCATGTGCCTGTTTTTATTCCAGTTCCATGTTATTTTGGTTACTATATCTCTGTAGTATAATATGAAGTCAGGTAGTGTGATTCCTCCAGTTTTGTTCTTTTTGCTCACAATAGCTTTGGCTATTCTGGGTCTTCTGTGGTTCCATAAAAAATTTAGAATTTTTTTTACATCTGTGAAAAATGTCATTCATATTTTGGTGGGGATTACATTTAATGTGTAGATTGCTTTGGGTAGGATGGACATTTTAACAATACTTATTCTTCCAATCCATGAACATGGAAAATCCTTTTATTGTGTTTGTAGCCTGTTCAATTACTTTCACCAATGTTTTACAGTTTTTATTGCAGAAATGTTTCCCTTCTTTGGCTAATTTATTTTCTAGGTTTTGAATTTTATTTGTAGCTATTGTAAGTGAGATTACTTTTTCATTTATTTTTCAAATTTTTTGCTGTTGGTGTATAGAAACAATACTGATTTTTGCATGTAGATTATGTGCCCTGCAACTTTACTTATTTATCAGTTCTAACAGTTTTTTTGGGAGTCTTCAGGTTTTCACAAACATAAGATCACATCATCCTCAAACAAGGATAATTTGAGTTTTTCCTTTCCAATGCGGATGCCCTTTATTTCTTTCTCTTGTCTGAATGTTCTAACTAGGACTTCCAGTACTATGTTGAATCAGTGGTGAAAGTGGGCATCTTTGTCTTGTTGCAGATCTTAGAGAAAAGACTTTCGGCTGTTTTCCATTCAGTATGATACTAGTTTTCGGCCTGTTGTATATGGCTTTTATTATTTTTAGGTTATGTTTCTTCTATATCCACTTTTTGAAGGTTTTTATCATGAAGTGATGTTGAATTTTATCAAAAGCTTTTTTAGCATCAGTTGAAACGATCACATGTTTTTTCCCTTCATTTTGTTGATATAATGTATCACACTGATTGATGTGCTTATGTTCAGCCATCCTTGCATCCCTGGCATAAATCCCACTTGGTCATGATAAATAATCTTTTTACTTTGTTGATAAATATCCTTTGTTAGTATTTTGTTGAGGATTATTGCATCAATACTCATCACAGATATCAGCCTATCATTTTCTTTTTCTGATGTGTCTTTGTCTAGTTCTGTTGTCAGTGTAATATTTACCTCATAGAATGAGTTTGGAAATATTCTTTTCTCCTTTATTCTTCAGAATAGTTTGAGTGGGATTGGTGTTAGTTCTTCCTGAATGTTTGTAAAATTCATCAGTGAAGCCATCCAGTCCCAAGAGTTTTGAAGGGTGAGATAACAGAAAGATATCCTGTTGCACTCAGTAGGGCTGGTGTGTTTATCTACCTTTATGCCTTTTGGATTTTATTATGTCTGGGCGATTTTCCAATATGTTATAAACATGATGTTTTAGGACTCTCCTTGATTGAACTATGATCATATATCTGGACAATGTTTTAGTTTACTTATGACAGTATTGTCCAGATGGTCCTGGACTGTCTCCAATAGAATCAGCTTTGTGCTTAAAATGTAGAAGTATGAGCTTTATGAAGTCCAAGTCAAGTTTATGATTTCCCTAATATCCTCACAAGGAATTGGGATGAACTTCTAGAGAGTCAGATCACTACTGATTAAAGGACATGAACAGACGCTTTTCAAAAGAACATATACAAACAGCCAACAAGCGTATGGAAAAAAGCTTGATATCACTCATCATTAGAGAAATGCAAATCAAAGACACAATGATATACCATCTCACACAAGTAAGAATGGCTCTTATTAAAAAGTCAAAAAGTAACACACTTACACACTGTTGGTGTGAGTGTAAATTAGTTAACTCATTGTGGAAATCAGTGTGACAATTCTCAAAGAGCTAAAAACAGAACTACCATTCGACCCAGCAATCCCATTACTGGGTATATGCCCAATGGAATATAAATAATTCTACTATAAAGACATGCATGTGAATGTTTATTGCAGCACTATTCACAATAGCAAAGACATGCAATTAACTTGAATTTCCATCAATGACAGATTGAATAGAGAAAGTGTGGTTCCATATAGACAATGGAATACTATGCAACTGTAAAAAAAAAGAATGAGATAATGTATTTTGTGGGAATATGGATGGAGCTGGAGCTCATTATCCTTAGCGAACTAACACAGGAACTGAAAGCCAAATACCACATGTTCTCACTTGTAAGTGGGAGCTAAATGATGAAAACTCATGGACACACAGAGAGGAACAACAGACACTGGGACCTACTTGAAGGTGGAGGGTGGGAGAAAAAAGAGGATCAGAAAAAATAACTATTGGGTACTAGACTCAGTGCCTGGGTGACAAAATAATTGGTACAACAAACCCCTGTGACACGAGTTTACCAATATAACAAACTTGCACATGTACCCCTGAACCTAAAAGAAAAGTTTAGAAAAGGACGCATATCTAATTCTAAAACAAATACTAATAATTTTTCACATTCCACTGATAATTAAATGAGGTGCTTCCTCCCATTTTTGGCCCTGGGTATCTCTCTAACCAATCTTTTGAGATTAACATGAGACATGTCAGTGGACTCCTGTGTCCCCAAAAGCTTTCAAAGAATTAAAATACAGATTCACTTCTGCTAACATCCTTGTATATTTTTATCTATAAAGAGAGATAATTTACGTTAGTATTCAGTCTATTTTCTCCCTCTTAAAAAAGGAAAACCCTTTAGATTTTCCATCCCGGTCACCTCCCTATATATTTCTTCTCCTTTAAAGCTGTGTTTTAAAGAGCTATCTGCATATGAACAACAGTTGAACTCACTGTAGTCATCCACCTACACCCTATTCACAAAAACTAATTTTGCTAAGGTTATCAATGTCCTTTATTTTGAAAATTATGTGGAGTAAGTCCTAATGTACTTGGCCTATCGTCATTAAATGCTTGAGTCCTCTCTCCTTGAACCACTCTCTTGGCATTAATGACATTTAACTCCTTCTACCTTTATGCACTCTCTCACAGCCTCTTTACCTTCTTAATATAGTCTTTAAATATTGGAATTCCTCAGGACTTCATTCTGGTTGCTCTTTTCTTCTCTATTGTTTTACATCTTCATCGAAACCTCACTCACTCTTATGACATTAACGGTTGTCTACATGCTGATTACTCTCCCAGTACGCCAAATCCAGAATCTTATATTTAACTACCTACTTAATAATGACACTTCAGTGTATCCCAGGCAAGCCAAAATGAAGACGATCCAAACTGAATATTTGATATCCACTTGCTCAACTTGTCTCTCAATCATTATTCTCCATTTTAATAAATATCTTCACTTCATAAACATGGTAGTCATTATTGACACCTCCCTGTATTTTATCTTTCATATTCAGTCAAATACCAAGCTCTGTAGATAAATCCTCCAAAATATATTACAAATAGATAAAATCTTTTTCATTTCTGTTACCACTATGCAGCGCTGTTTTTTTAAATGTGTATTTTATTGCTCTTTCTATTTATTTATTTATTTCTAACCTTTATTTTATGTTCAGGGGATACATATGCAGGTTTGTTATATGGGTAAATTGTGTGTTGTGGGGTTTGGTGTACAAATTACTTCATCACTCAGATAATGAGCATAGTACCTGACAGGTAGTTTTTCAGTCTTCAACCTCCTATCACCCTCCACCATCAAGTAGACCCCAGTGTCTATTATTCCTTTCTTTGTGTCCATGTGTACTCAATATTTAGCTAACACTTGCAAGTGAGAACATGTAATATTTTGTTTTCTGTTTCTACATTAATTTGCTTATGCTAATAGTCTCCAGATCCATCCATATCGCTGTGAAAGATATGATTTTGTTCTATTGTTATGGCTACATAGTATTCTATGGTGTATATGTACCACATTTTCTTTATCCAGTCCACTGTTGATGGATAGGCATTTACATTGATTCCGTGAGTTTGCTATTGTGACTAGTACTGTGATGAATATACACATGCATGTGACTTTATGATAGAATTATTTATATTTCTTTGCCAGTATTTCACTCTCTTTAGGAAGCCCTTTCCGACCTCCCTTACTCATTCTTTTTGTGTAACACTTCAGAACACAATGTGCCTATTCTTCATATTACTTGCTGCTGTCACATTTTGCAGTTTCAGGATAATCAGGTAAATAAATATCTGCATCTTTCACTAGGTTGTAAGTTCCATAAGAGCCTTGCTTTAGTCTATTGTGTACATTACCTGGTACACAATGGGCATTCAATAAATAATTGTTAAATGAATTATATAATGCCATAGTAGTTTTTAGCAACAAGTGGGCATTTACCATGTTCCAGAAAATTTGGCAAGTGTTATACATAAATTGTCTCATTTAATCATCTCAATTATCTTATGAAGAGAGTACTATTATTATATTATTTTCTATAGATAAAGAAATTGGGCCCAAATAATCTAAAAATATTTCTCAAATTTGCATAACTAATAAAAGGCAGAAAAACAATTTAAATATATTTCTGTTAGGCTCCAAAGTTTGTGTTTATTAGAAACTCAAGCTCTTTCAGTTTGTCTTTGCTAGAATAGTTTATCTGGACATTTTATTGCTGTCACAAGCCTTAATATAAAATGTTATCTTATATTTTTATTTTCAGGAGGTCTCTACTATATATTACTTGTTAAAATTTTTAGGAAGCTTTAGGTTTGTTTTTCAGTGATTCACTTAAGCAGGCAAAAAATCCTACGTATAAATGACATTTTCTGTCAAATGAAACCTCTATTTTCCTGTTAGTGTTTGCCTTTCACATGTAATACATATATTTTAGCATATACATCACCTCATGCAAGGAATATTAACTTTATAATGTATAATACTTGATATAAGGTTTTGAAAAACACTGTTCCATAACATTTAATAAATCCAGGTCTTAGACCAAAGTGCAAAATACACTGACTGACTTACTCAGTGCCTAGGCAAACTTGAAGAAGTTTTGGTACTATTTTCAAAGTTTATGCCTTCTCTCAATGTTGATAGATGCTTGTATTTCCGAGCTTAGCTGCAGAATAACCTGAATTTCATACTACGGTGTCATCTTTATGTTGTTTCAACATGTTAATGATGACAGACATCCTCATTCCCTATTGGCAGTTACCCATTCAAGACGTCTTTTAATTTTTATAGATGTGCGAATTAGATGGCATTATTAGGAGTGCGGGTTGCTTGTGTTTTTGTAACTATGTGTTGCCTTTTCATTATAATCACCATATTGTGCAATTCTAGGGATCCCAATCTCTATTTTAGTTTATGTAAATGATTCCTAAGGAGTTTCA
The DNA here is from genome assembly GCF_000001405.40 of Homo sapiens. NCBI lineage: Eukaryota > Metazoa > Chordata > Mammalia > Primates > Hominidae > Homo > Homo sapiens. The sequence continues at coordinate 79,448,829 of NC_000023.11, forward strand.
TAGTGTATAGCCTGTGAAGCCATATATTGTGAAGTATCATCTTCTCTTTCTTATTCACCCACAAATAGTGAGTGAATTCCACATAGTAATCACAGAAACATAAAACGAAGACTTTGCTTATTATGTCCTCTGTTACCAACATCATAAATGTCTTATATTTCCACACCTGAATTTACATATAGTAATGTCTTATATACTTCAATTCCAAACATTCTTGTATTAATTAGGCCTCTTAGTGACAAACACCTGAAACCAACTCTAACAAGTTAAGTAAAAACAAATTTAGTAAGCGATACTGAGGGCTCACAGAAGTGATAAAAGGGTAGAAGATCAGGAGGATCTATGAGAGCGAGGAGTAGGACACACACACAAAAAACACAGCTACTGTCTTTTAGAAGGGCCCACCCATTTAATAGATATTGCTGGCTTGTCAGTTTTTCTGCCATCACCACCACAGCTGCTATTGTAATAGATATGTCAAAGTATGTATCCTGACTTTAATACTTTATTCAATATTTAAAGTCCAGGGAAAGGGTTTTTGATTGGCTGCAATTAGATCATGTGTCCAACCTCCTGATCCTCTCAGCCCTATAGGCGGAGTTATGAAATGGAACAGTGGAAGATGGGCACAGGGATTTATCACTGTGCCAATACTACACATAATGAAGAAGTAGTAAATTCCCAAAAGTAAACTGAAATGTTATTAGGAAGGATGTGGTTTCTGGCAGCCAAAAATCCCTCAATTTGAGCAATGTCTGCTATAAGCCCTCTTTCATGTCAATTATGGGTTCCACTTGCATTACCTACTTCTCACCTGTGACACTGCACATAATCTTTTCTTATATAAACTGGCTTTGCAGTTTTATGTCCCTGGTACTGTTGGAATCAAGTACACTATCTTGGTTACTGGAAAGTAGATATTAATAGAATAAAATATAAGAAATGTAAGATTAGCATCCCACTTCAATATTGTTCATCTTCCTCATAGATTAAAAAAAAGACACTAATGATTTCACTATTTCCCATGCATGAACCTGAGAACAGAGGAATGCCAAATTGCCTAGAATTCCCTGGCTGCTGCATTCTTTAAACTGTATCTACCTAGGGGTCACTTATAAAATGATGTTGCATTGAAAACAGATGGAATTATCTCATACTGTATTGGAAGAACATTGCATGCCCTAGTGATTTATTTACTCCCTCATCTCTGTCCTGATTCCATTCTTTTCTCATCTGTACTTGTGTTTCACTACGGCCTTAGCTCTGACTTTAGTAACATGATTAATAACCTAATTTGGGCTGGGACTGTATTTCTTCAGTCTGTCTTCTGTTTGCTTCTTAAAACCATGAACTACATTGCTCAATTCCTTGTTTCATCTATTCCAGACACTTTGAGTTACAGAAGTTTTATTTATGTTCCTGAGATGGGATCCACTCTCTGCTGTGCTTCAGGCCAGTCCAGCATCTTTTCCTCATGACCAAAACAGTTTGTCAAGAAGTATTTTTTTCAATTGCTCACAGAAAATTGATTCTCTGTAGCTGGCATGTTTCTGTTTGTTCTGATCTTTTGCTTCCCTCTAGCGGCCAATGTTTGCATATGTATATGAGGCTAGCAAACTGTGTGTGTGTGTGTGTGTGTGTGTGTGTGTGTGTGTGTGTGTGTGTGTGTGTATAAAATTGATGGAATTTCTATGGTTTCCGTCTCATCACTCCATTGCTAGCCATATATATATGCACACACATATATGTGTATATATGTTTATATATGATCTATATGTGTATATATTTGATATATATCATATATATGATTTATGTGTCTCATATATCATATATATGGATGTATACATTGTGAAACCCAAAAATCTGAGACAGGTCTCATTTAAATTAGAAAGTTTATTTTGCCAAGGTTGAGGACGCGCGCCCGTGACACAGCCTCAGGTGGTCCTAACAACATGTGCCTTCCCAAGGTGGTAGGAGCACGGTTTGGTTTTATACATTCTAGGGAGACATGAGACATCAATCAACATATGCAAGATGAACATTGGTTCGGTCTGGAAAGACGGGATAACACGAAGCAAAGGTGAGAAGACTCAAAGGGGGAGGGGGCTTCCAGGTCATAGGTAGATAAGAGACAGATGGTTGCATTACTTTGGGTTTCTGATTAGCCTCTCCAAAGGAGGCAATCAGATGTGCATTTATCTCAGTGAGCGGAGGGGCGACTTTGAACAGAATAGGAGTCAGGTTGGCCATAAGCAGTTTCCAGCTTGACTTTTCCCTTTAGCTTAGTGATCTGGGGCCCCCAAGATTTATTTTCCTTTCACAATATGTGAGTGTATGTATTATATATATATGTATTATATATGTATATATCATATATGTATATACATCATATAAGTGTGTGTGTGTATATATATGAGGCTAGCAATGGAGTAATGAGATAAAAACATAGAAATTCCATCAATTCAATATCAGATACATTTTTAAAATTTATTGACAAATTTATAAAGAAGCTAAAGAACTTAAAAGATATAGATAGGTTTAAAGGATACCAACTAGGTTTATAAAATTGTTTTGAAGTAAAAACAATAAGACTTGCCTTACCCCTCTACTTTTAATACTGTTTTGTGTATTTTACCCTTCTAGGCTGTATATGTCAGAGGATATCATATCTGATCAAAAGAAAAAAAAGATCAAGACAAGATGAAAAGAACCAAAATGTGAATATACAGTTATAACATTAAAATTAAAGTAAATATTATTTTTTACTATCTCTGGGGGAACAGAACTATTTGCTCTGCTGATGGGTATTTATTTCCCTTTTCCTTATTTATAAGAAAGTGAAAGATATTTCACTGACATAGAATTTGACAGTTTCAGGAATATCAGAGTAGATAGCAATGAGTATAAAGTAAACAAAAAAAGACAACTCTTATCTATTTTTCTACCACTATACTATTATTTCTACTTTTACTTCTGGTACTACTACTATTATAATGACAATAAAGAAACTACTACTACTACCACCACCATAATGACCTCATAATAATAACAATTAATGTAAATCAAGCAATAACTTTATACCAGGCAATGTGGTAATTACTTTACATACATCTTATTTAATTCCCACAACAATGCTCAGAGTCAGATACTATTGTAAGCCCTAACTTACAGAGGAAGACATCCTAAGGCATACAGCAGCTGCAGTCTGCCTGCCACTGAATTTTATCCAGGGTCTGAGCCTGCTGAAGTCAGTTGGTGAAGCAAGAGAAGACAGGCAGAATAAGATGGCAGAGAAAGACTCTCCAGCGACCATCCCTCAATAGAAACATCAATTTGAACAACTATCCACACATGAAACAAATCTTCGTAAGACTCAGGAAACCAGGTAAGAAATTACTACACCTGGTTTTAGCATAATAATTTAAAAGATGCATTGAAGAGGGTGGACAGGAAACTTTTACATTACCTACATCACCCCTCCCCCAACCTCAGACAGCACAGCACTAAGAGAGACACCATTTGCTGAAGGAGAGAGAAGTAAACATAAGACTTTGCCTTGGAATCCAGTGCCAGGTCTGCCACAAAAAAGCCCAGCACCAGGCAGAACCCCATGTCCCCTTGTTCCCAGACCAAACTGAGGGTCGGACTCCTATTTCTTGTGGCCCAGTAAAGAGATGCAAATGAACTGCAGAGGAAGAGTTTTCATTTCTGCAACCGGTTACAGGGAGAAGGCCTGGAAATTATCGCCAGACCAACTCAAAATTAGAGAGTTTTCAGGAGCTTATATACCTTCTGAGCTATATGTCTATGTGTAAGTATTCATTCATCTAAAGAAGTGTTTAACTTCTTTTAATCTATAACTATAGTCTGCGTCCTGAAGACCTTCCTCTGAAGCCTCAGTAAATTTACTTAATCTAAATGGGTGCAGGTGCTGGGTTGATTACCCTTATCTTGTCTCCTGCTGAATCATGGAAGTTTGGGGAGTTTGGGGAGTGCCTTCAGATCCCCAATTAACTTGTTGTGGAGGCCTGGGGAGTTTCTTAAGTCCAACAATGAAACTTGTTTAGTCCTAAATGGGTCCTGTTAAGAATTCTTTCATTATTTTGTCATGCTTTAATGCCCAGGAAAGGCCTCGGCAAAACTCTTGTTGAGCTTGAGGGCACTGGCTTTTAATATTTAACTTAATCACTCAGTCAGTACTGAAACAGTTGTTAAGGAGGTCTGTGTTAGTGAGACCTGGCCTGCCACACCCTAACACTAGGCCAATACCCTGAACAGAACCTCTACACCTGGCATGGTGCCAGACAAGAACCAACAATCCCAGCAGGAGTGACTGAAGTTCTGGCCCATAGCACTGCCAGCCAACTCCAGCTGCCTTGAGACCCAAATAAACCTCAGCAGCAGGCAGTCCATAGCTTTTGCAGAGTTTTAGGTGTGCACCAGAGACAAATATAAGCCTGTGGCCCTGGCAGAATGCATTTGAGTTCTGGCTTGCATCACTGCTGGCAAACTACAGTAGTCTTGGGCTCTGAATTAAACTCATCAAAAGGTATGCCATAGCTGCCATGGACCTTAGGCATGCCCTGTTGCCAGAAGGGCACACATGGCCCTGGTGGAATAGACTAAACTTCTGGCCCACATTACCACTTGCAAACTATAGTAGCCTTGAATCCTAAATAAAACTCCGTGGTGGGCAGGCTGTAGTTGCTATGGGCCAGCCCTAGGTGTGAAAGAAAAACAAGTCTCCAGACGTCAAAATCACTAAGCCAAAGGGAAAAGTCCAGTTCGGAACTGTGTTAGGCAAACCTGCAGTACATTTTATTCCTAAATAGGATAGCTACAAAGATATAAAAAAAGAAGCTACATACCTCCTTCACAATTTGTTCACAAGGGAATTTATCATGGTCCTCAAGAGCTTTACCCTAAAACAGTTCTGTTGCATTTCACCCTGGCAATGAAAATTAATAACTTATCTTCACAGGTGCAGGACAAAGGACAGACAGAACTCAGTCAACCCTCTGCTCACCTGAGAAAAAGTGCATATCTAATTGCTTCTTTGGCCCTATTGTTTATGCAAGAATGCTGATTCATTTGTCTATTTTGGCTTTTGTTGCCATTGCTTTTGGTGTTTTAGTCATGAAGTTGTTGCCCATGCCTATGTCCTGAATGATATTGCCTAGGTTTTCTTCTAGGGTTTTTATGGTTTTAGGTCTTACATTTAAGTCTTTAATCCATCTAGAGTTAATTTTTGTATACGGTGTAAGGAAGGGATCCAGTTTCAGCTTTCTGTATAGGGCTAGCCAGATTTCCCAACACCATTTATTAAATAGGGAATCCATTGGGATCTAATTAAACTAAACAGCTTCTGCACAGCAGAGGAAACTATCACCAGAATGAACAGGCAACCTACAGAATGGGAGAAAATTGTTGCAATATATCCATCTGACAAAGAGCTAATATCCAGAATCTACAAAGAACTTAAACAAACTTACAAGAAAAAAACAACCCCATCAAAAAGTGGGCAAAGGATATGAACAGACACTTCTCAAAATAAAACATTTATGCAGCCAACAAACATATGAAAAAAAGCTCATCATCACTGGTCATTAGAGAAATGCAAATCAAAACCACAATGAGATACCATCTTACACCAGTTAGAATGGTGATCATTAAAAAGTCAGGAAACAACAGATGCTGGTGAGGATGTGGAGGGATAAGAACGCTTTTACACTGTTACTGGGAGTGTAAATTAGTTCAACCATTGTGGAAGACAGTGTGGCAATTTCTCAAGGATCTAGAACTAGAAATACCATTTGACCCAGCAATCCTATTTCTGGGTATATACCCAAAGGATTATAAATCATTCTACTATAAAGACACATGCACACGTATGTTTATTGTGGCACTGTTCACAGTAGCAAAGACTTGGAACCAACTCAAATTCTCATCAATGATAGACTGGATAAAGAAAATGTGGCACAGATATGCCATGGAATACTATGCAGCCATAAAAAGGATGAGTTCATGTCCTGTGCAGGGACATGGGTGAAGCTGGAAACCATCATCCTCAGCAAAGTAACACAAGAACAGAAAACCAAACACTGCATGTTCTCACTCATAAGTGGGAGTTGAACAATGAGAACACATGGACACAGGGAGGGGAACATCCCACCAGAGCCTAGTGGAGGGTGGGGGCTAGGGGAGGGATAGTATTGGGAAAAATACCTAATGTAGATGATGGTTTGATGGTTGCAGCAAATCACCATGGCATGTGTATACCTAGGTAACAAATCTGCACATTCGGCACATGTACCCCAGCACTTAAAGTATAATAAAAAAAAGCCAAAAAGAAATGCAGATTCACTAGGCCTGTCCAAAGCATAAGTCACTTTCCTCTATGCCACCTCATATGTAAATTTTGTATTTAATGAAAGGCTAATCACAGTATTCAGTGAAAAGCTAATGAGAGACTCAAAAGAATACAACCATTTATCTCTTTTTTTTTTTTTTTGAGACGGAGTCTCGCTCTGTTGCCCAGGCTGGAGTGCAGTGGCGCGATATCGGCTCACTGCAAGCTCCGCCTCCCGGGTTCACGCCATTCTCCTGCCTCAGCCTCCCGAGTAGCTGGGACTACAGGCGCCCGCCACCACGCCCGGCTAATTTTTTGTATTTTTAGTACAGACGGGGTTTCACCATGCTAGCCAGGATGGTCTCGATCTCCTGACCTCGTGATCCGCCCGCCTCGGCCTTACAACCATTTATCTCTTATCCAACTTTCAGTTGCACTGCCTTTCAGGACAGAACAAACGTACAGCTTATACATATTGATTGATGTCTCATGTCTCCCTAAAATGTATAAAATCAAACTATGCTCTGACCACCTTAGGCATGTGTCTTCAAGATCTCCTGAGGCTGTGTCACAGGTACATCCTTAACTTTGGAAAAATAAACTTTCTAAACTGATTGAGACCTGTCTCAGATAGTTTTGAGTTTACAAATCCATTACCATAAAGGAATTCTGAGGGGAGGTTCCCTTGATCTTTCACAAATCTCCTATTTGAGCTTGGTACCCGTTTTAGTTATCCTTATGACTCAAACCAGTAGGACAATTTGCTGAGCCCTGGGAGCTCCCGACTTCTAGAGAATCCCTAATCTCTCAAAATTTGGTTGAGATGTAAAGTTTATTTTGCTTTACAACTACTTTTTTAGAGTTTTAATTCCTTCCAACAAGGAAGGCAAGTTTTCCCGCTTCCATGATAATGTAGAGCAGGTAACTTCTTTCTGGAGTTTCAGTTAGTTTCCAACAGGAAAGGCAAGTTTGAAGCTTTTGTTCCCTGCTTCTAAGATGATAGAGAGAAGTCTTGAGCCAAGGCCTCATTCCTAAGAGAGGTGAAGCCCACTGGGCTTCTGGGTCGGGTGGGGACTTGGAGAACTTTTCTGTCTAGCTAAAGGATTGTAAACACACCAATCAGCACTCTGTGTCTAGCTAAAGGTTTGTAAATGCACCAATCAGCACTCTGTGTCTAGCTAAAGATTTGTAAATGCACCAATCAGCACTCTGTAAAAATGCACCAATCAGAGCTCTGTGTCTAGCTAAAGGTTTGTAAATGCACCAATCAACACTCTGTAAAATGGACCAATCAGCACTCCATAAGATGGACCAATCAGCAGGACATGGGCAGGGCCAAATAAGGGAATAAAAGTTGGCCACCCAAGCCAGCAGTGGCAACCCGCTGGGGTCCCCTTCCATGCCGTGGAAGCTTTGTTCTCTCGCTCTTCACAATAAATCTTGCTACTGCTCACTCTTTGGGTCCACACTACCTTTATGAGCTGTAACACTCACTGCGAAGGTCTGCAGCTTCACTCCTGAAGTCAGTGACACCACGCACCCACTGGGAGGAACAAACAACTCCCAACGCACCAACTTTAAGAGCTGTAACACTCACTGTGAAGGTCTGCGGCTTCACCCCTGAAGTCAGCGAGACCACGAACCCACAAGGAGGAACAAACAACTCTGGACGCGCCACCTTTAAGAGCTGTAACACTCACTGAGAAAGTCTGGGGCTTCACTCCTGAAGTCAAGTGAGACCACAAACCCACTGGAAGGAAGAAGCTCCAGACACATCTGAACATCTGAAGGAACAAACTCTGGACACACTATCTTTAAGAACTGTAACACTAACCACAAGGGTCCGTGGCTTCATTCTTGAAGTCAGCAAGACCAAGAATCCACCAGAAGGAACCAATTCTGGACACACTAGCTATGTAGCTAAATTTGGGTTTTTGTCTTGGAAATTCTTCTTAAATATTAAAAGTTAAAATTGACAATGAGCTGGTTTTAGTTTTCCCTTATTATTAGGATGCTCAGTAATCCTATAAAATGTGCAATCATTTGTTTTGCTTAACTTTTTTGTTGCTGTTTGTTTCTGTTTCTGTTGTGGTTTCAGTCTTTGTCCTACTGGGTTTGACCAACTTTATTCAGCTTGGTCAAATCCAAACGAGATTTCCAAATTATGGGGAACAAGCCTTCTGAATTGGCATAATTCTTGCAACTGATAATAAAAAAGGAAAAGAGAAAATGACCAGCAAAAAGAAGATAAATGAAAGATTTTGACTACCTAGAAGGCTTTATGTACATGACAAGGCCACCGTTTCATTAGCCAAGCCAAACTGAAAGGGCAATGGCTGTTGCCTGCTCTAAGATGCAGTTCTGTTCCTAAGGTTCTGCCCCTTTTTTCCACCATCACATCCTGGGTTTGGTTTCTAAATCAAGTCCTTTCTGGATTTATATTTATATTACTTTTGAAATATCAGCAATTTATCCCAGCTAAAATATGGTAATGGGATTTTAATTTTTTTTTTTTTTTTGAGACAGAGTCTTAGTCTGTTACCCAGGCCGTAGTGCAGTGGAGCAATCTGGGCTCACTACAGCCTCTGCCTCCTGGATTCAAGTGATTTTCATGCCTCATCCTCTCGAGTAGCTGAGATGACAAACACACACCACCACACCCAGCTAATTTTTGTATTTTTAGTAGAGATGGGGTTTCACTATGTTAGCCAGGCTGGTCTCAAACTCCTGACCTCAAGTGATTCACCCACTTTGGCCTCCCGAAGATCTGGGATTACAGGTGAGAACCACCACACCCGGCCTAAAATGACTTTTTAAAAGGAGTTCAACGGTTAAAAGGCAGCTTAATTAAAAGCTAATATACAAGGGCTGTGTATGTTTTTTTAAATTTTTTTACAGTCTTTATGCTTTTTTTTTCCTCATAGGACATTGTTCTTTTTTGAGAAAAGGGTTTTTTTTTTTTTTAATCCTTTAGGGTCGACTGAATTCTGTTTTCTCCATTTACTGTTGACTTTCTCTCCTTTGTCTTGCTACCCTCTGCTGCATGAGGGACCTAAAGTAGTTTCTAACAGCCTGGGATTTCTTAAAGAAAATAGAGAAGGTGCCAAACTCCATTCTGGGGAGAAACCTCTGTTTTTCATTATGGAACCCCAAAAATGTAAACAGACAAATTCCTCTCAGATTTTAAACTGCTTGTTTTTGCATTGTTACCTGATTTATTTTTACTAAAATAGTTATTACAACAGAGACTTCTCTTGGGTACTTAAAATAAGAAAGAAAGAATGTACTTTAGACACTTAGAGAAATGTCTTTGTTGAAAAAAAAAAGTACATTGTAAAAGCATCATGTGGTCTAACCTGAGGATAATTCTCTCTTTTTGGAGATCCAGGATTCAGTGTGGACTTAGCCCAGAGGTCAGAGGTCCAGATAAAAGATAGAGACTAAATTTAGAACTATGTATCTAAATAAAATTGGTCCCTTATACAATTCTGTGATAGATTTCTATAATTTTATGTCTGATTCGGCATCCATTTTTAATCTCCCTCTAGCACAGGAGACTCTGTACTTTGAGATGTAAATTTTGCCATCTGATTTTTCACCTAAGAGTTCCTTTAATGTGCAAATTTAGGGCTATCTAGCTGACAACTGCCTAGGATAATGAAACAGGTTATCAAGAAATTGGAAGTCTAAAATAAGAAGAAGAAAGAGTTTTATGAATCTATAAAATCTACTTTTATCTGCATGTCTAATATGCGTATGTATTTATGTGTCATATATAATGTTTCACTACTAAAACTATATTTTAGAACTCTAATTAATTGGCTTAAAGAAAAAAAAGTCTTTTAGTCAAATGCTTTGTCAGAATAAAATAGAGACTCTAAGCCAAAAGCTTTTCAAGGTCATGTGATTTAAGTAAATCTTTAATGATAAGCTGGTTATAAAAGTATTGGTAAAATTGAATTAGAAATGGCTTCAGAATTGTCAACATACATTACTGTTTAGATTTATTGGTCAAATGGTTTTATATTTCTCTTTGCTAGATGTAAAAATTGGGCAAGAGGGTTATAAAACCATGAATGCAGACCAAAAGATAATTATCTTTATTTGTGTAAAAATTGATAAATTAGTATTTAATATTGTTTGTTTATGGAAAACAGCCAAATCTTGAGTTATTGGCAAAACAAAAACAAACCCACTTATCTAATCTTAAGGTTCTTACTCAGGAAAACCTGAAATTCACAGACTACAAAAGTAATTAACAGGAATATAATCTTACATGATAACTATCAGAGTTTTCATAAGTAATCTGGGTAAACTATTTTAAAAATTAATTAGGTAAATGTAATGAAATAAATGCTTGTAAATAAACTTGTCATATAATTTAGAATCCAAAGTTATATTAAGTTAAATGACAGATACTAATTGAATGTCTTTTTCATTTTCTTTTTTCAAAAAAATATAGAAAAACATTTTCTAAAATATACGTTCATATTTACAAGAAAATAATTTTCATAAATTCAAAAGTTATTTAAAAGTTATTTATGAAATGATGTGAAAGTAAACAGTAAATAAGACCAATGAAAAGAATGTTATAAGTATAAAGAGGTGTTTTGGCAAGAAAGATAAAATAATACAATTTTATATGAGAAAGAATCTTTTATAGTACATTTTTGTCCTAGAATAAAATGACCAGTTATTTACGGAAAAGGGATGTTGAGGACAACCCAGAATGTCCAAGCATGTCAGGAATTGTCTGTGTAAGTTGTAATAAAGTTTGTACAAAGAAGATTTATAACAAAGAAAACTTTATGTGATCAAGTTGTCTGTAATTAAAGGGAAATTATTCACAATGTCATTCTAGAGATTGGGTATTGATATTTAAAAAACATTTATACACTAAAGAATTGGCTAGAACAAAGTTTTCTTAAAGTATTAATCTATTCTTAATAAAATTACAAGATATTTTAATTTCTTTTAACTCAAAGTTCAACTTTTATTGTATCTCACTGTTTACAGCTTTCTCTCCCCTTTGAAAAGGCCTAAGATACTAACTCTGTCCTTCAACTCATTTTCAGCTCCTGCTGTTTTCTACCCTCAGGTTCTAACTGTTTGTTGTTATCTGATGCTAAAAATGTTTTATCTTAAAGGTTTAAAAGAAATGTTTTCTTCTGATATAACATTCTGTGCTCTTGGCTTTAAATTGTTTTGTGAATCCAAAAATTTTTACTCATTACCAGGAAACACTCTTTCTATGTCTAACTAATACAAGTACCCTTTCCATTAGATTTGGCTTGCCAGTCAAACCTAATGGACTTCCTATAGGGAATAGCAATCTCACTGCAAAAGTACATTTTGGTAACTGACCTAACAAACAGATTTTACATTTCATCAAAATGATTCTTATATCACTGTTATTAAGTTGTGATTTGCTTAGAAAGAAGTGAGATTATTGTTTGTTAATTGAGGCTATTATATACATATAACTTTCTGTATTTGCTTTTAAAGTTATTGTACCATTTAGTTACAGGGCTTTGACTCTTGGGTCTAAAAAGGATACCAAGTCATGTTAAATCTTAAACACTGACAGCAGCTAAAATATCAAAATAAATGGCATTCATGAGACACAAGGCCAGAAATTAAAACTATTCAATTACTCAACGTCCACAGACTATCATGTAAGAGGTGGGCATATGAGATTACAAGGGCTGATTTTGAGAGATTAAAATTAGTTCAGTTTTTCTACAAATTAACCAATAATATTCAAGGCACACTGATTAAAGACAAGCATCTGGGCCCCTGTGTCAGATTAATAAGGTTTTCTATGAGCATTAACCCACTTCAGAATAAAAAGAATTCTATAGCTTAAAAAAGGTTTATGGAAATTATATCTTATGGTCAGGATGATTAAAACTTAATTGAGTTGTTTATGAAATTTTGAGAGATAGATTTAATTGGCCTCATGCTATCTGTATTAGGGCTTTTTGGGAGGAAATTAAATCTCCTCTCTCAAAGAATAAGTGTTCTTTTTGAAATATTTGAGTTATCACTTTGGCTAAATGAATGACTTATTTTACAATGACCTGCTATCCTATTGTAATATCCAGGATTTTGAAATTTTTACACTTCACAAACTTTCCAAAATCAAATTCTAACTTCAGTCTTCATGATTTTTTTGATATTAGGCCCCTTGAAGTCCAAAAAGGATATATTCAGCTTATTTGATGTAAAAATTCATACAAGAAGTATTATCAAATATGAAATGGTGTTTAACCTTCTTTGAATTGTATTTATATAAATGTGAATTTAGTATGCATTTCAAAATTGTTTGAGATTCCTGTGATTCTGATATCTTAGTATATATTATCCATAGTAATTATGATTATTATAAAATTGTTGTATGCCACAGAAGTAATCAAATTTTCTTGTTATTTGTGTCTTTAACCATGAATGTTCTAAGACTCTTGTCATTCACAGCTGTTTTATTTTTTCCTTTTCAAAGGATAAAAATAGGTGGTTTATATAAAATGAGATTTAAAACTCTGACAGGTGCTCTTGAATGCAGACATCTGAAATTTTGGAGGTTATGACACTAAAATAGAGGAAAATCTTCCAAGACTCATAGACAGCTAATGTGTTCATAAACATCAAGTAGATCAGGAGTTAATTACATAGACTGAACATGTGAAAGATTGAAATAATCCTTTTATGATTGTGTTTGAAACATTGTTAATTCTTTTTTTTTCTCAGTCCATAAAATGATTTTTCTTTTGAGCTATTTACAGCTTTTAACAATTAGGTAAAATACACTCCTGTGAGCAAAGTTGGAACATTTTTTTTCTCTCTACTTGATTTCTCCAGAATATGAAAACTATTTGTAAGTATACTTAATTGATGCCAATATAGTTATTTGCATAAGTTTAATAAGAATCAGTTTTCTTTTGTAACAGGACACTATTGGAAACACTACTTATTTTACCAAAGCTTTGACTAGCATGGCATACTTTCGGACTGCTTTAAGAAATCAAAGTTCACTTATGTAGCCAATGAAAGACCCTTGGGAAAACCTGTCTCCTACATTGTCCTTGCAGTCCCTGTACAGGGTTCCTTACCTGTTGTAAGTACAGAATGTTACTTTCTAACTGACCTAGGGGCCCTAAATTATCTTAGGACTTCAGGGTGAGGAATGCACCCAATTAATTCAGGTATTTGTAGGCACAGATAAATCTGTGGCTGGGCTCAAGGCTTTAAAGTCTAATCTGAGGGCTAGATTTCAAGGAATTACTTCCTTCAGTTTGTGCTGGAATCTGAGAGTGCGTGCAAATGTCTTCCCGTTGCTTCTCTCACTTTTATATTTCTCAACTCTCCCCAAATTTGTTCCTGTGTTTAGTGGGGTTAACTTTATTCTTTATGGAATAAAGGTCCAGTAAAACCAATGTTTTAAAAGCCTATATAAATTTATTTATTTATTTATTTATTTATTTATTTATTTATTTATTTTTCAAGATGGTTGATTAAAAAAATTTATATCATATCTCTCCCACTTGGAAGGACAAAATAGTGTATAACAAATCACATTGTGAACTTTTCCTCAAGAAGTAACGCAGGAACTGAATAAGAAAACTGAAGGAAAACACAGACCCTTTGAAAGAAGCAGGAGTCTACAGCATGCACTGTGACTCAGTCGAAGGGCTGTGAGTCCCCGGAGTGTGAGAGGGAAAGAATTCACCCCCAGGATACACAACCCTACTGCGGAGCCTAAAAGTCCAGGCCACCAGGGAAGGTACTAACCCCATCGAGCACAAGAACAAACTTGGGGAGGGTTGTGAAATATAAAAGTAGGAGCAGTTAAAGAAAGACCCTTCCATGCATTCTCAGATTTTGGCACAAACTGAGGACAGTCTTTCCTTACTGTCCCTCATAGGAGACCGTGCAGAGGGCAACCGAAAAGTTCAGGCAGTATCCCAGGTTTAAAGAAACTCCCAATGGAGTTTTACAATATAACCTCAGGTGGGGTCAAACTCCTTTCACCAGAGCTGGGGTTGGGAAGAATGTGGGAGTTCCAAATGCAAGAGCTCAGGTACAAAAGCCAGGTGCAAGCTTTGCAGGTGACATGGAGGTGCGTGGCCTGAAAGCTGTGGTTTCTAGCTCTGCAGGGAAAGTTGGCAGTTTCAAATTCAGATTATAGGCTAACTGGAACTCAGCTCGCTGCTGCCAGTAGAACATTGTGGAGTGGATCTGCCTCTCCAAGTGTGTGAGAACTGTGTGGGGCTTACCACCACCTGCTACTCCCCACTTCCTACACCAACTCTACTGTGCAGCAGAGGCAGTGATGCTTTCCTCTGGAACATCAACCAAGTATCCTGAAACCTACTTCAATCCCCCAGTACCCACAGGGGCTACTGCTTGCCCTGTATTTGGAGACTCAGAACACAAACACACCTGACCTAGCTCTGACTTGGCTTTGCCCTGCCACCCACCTTGGTAGCTTAACACAAAAGGCAGAATCTCTTGGGAGCTATATAGCCCTGCCCATTGCCTGAGAAAAAGAGTAACCTCCATCCTGCCAGACAACATAAGGAGAACAAACATCTCACTGCTACCACTGAAGCTGGTTCTCTTTTCCAAGCACCACCTCCTGGCTAAAGGCCAACCAGCATAATTTATTACAGTATCTCCTGATAGAATAACACTGCACCCAGAACGGAGAAAATGGCTGTGTGATCTCAGCTATCACCACTGCCTGCACCACTCTGGCTAGCCAGGAGGTTCTGAATATGTCCAAGTGACCGGTTCCTTATTACTATAACCAACCTTCAAGAAAGCCAACACACTGTGGCTATCAATAACCGAGGAAATTCACAGAGTCTGTGTCACTCCCTTGCCACCCCCCCACCCATAAGAGCTGCTACCCACTGCTGGAAAACTTGTGCAGAGATCACATCATTGGATCCCTTGCAGGCATTCCAGAATACCAGCCTGGAGTGTGGCAACTTCACTGGGCACCTGACCCAGAGGAGCAACAACACTCACAGTAGTCTGGCTCCCAGCGACTCTCAAGCCTAGGGGAAGGGGGAGTGCACTACATCAAGAGAACATCCTGAAAGACAAAAGAATCTGGATGGCAGGCCTTGAGTGCCAGATTCTTCTGATGGTAAGAAGCTTCTTTCTGCAGAGGCACACAGGTACAGTGCTGGGCTTAGCAGGGTAAGTCTTCAGCCCAGTCCCTCAAGTCAGCCATCCCTGGTATACATTAAGGGTTTTGAAGAAGATGAAGTCTTTCCCCCCTTATCACTGTAGGCACAGTTGGGGCTTCTCCCGTGGAAGCCTGGCATGGGTGCAACTATAAACAGCCTTTCTGGAACACGTCAGGGTGACTGCATCCTCACAGGAGGAGCTCCCTCTAGGCTCAGGCTTCGATGAGGTGCAGAGTCACAATTCCTTTGTATTTGTAACATCAACATTCCTACAGATGAAAAGTGGTGCCTGTATAATCTGAGTAGCCAAAGCACGGCAACAGCAGTGTGTCTGAGAGACAGATAACTTTCCTGCTAACCTGGCAGGGGAGCTGACATGGCTCCAACCCTTCTCCTTGATAAAACCTTTGTACAACTCACTGAGAGCTCCTTCAGCCACCTCTGTCAAGGCCAGAACCTCATTAACCCACTTGCTTTAGCTACAACTGGTTCAGGCCAGGGACAACTCCCCTACTGGCCTGAAGCCTAAACCATCAAACTAGTAAATAAATTAGTTAAATATAACAAATTTATATATAGCTAGTTAAATGGGAAAAATAGTTAAATGAAAATTATACACCATGGGGGAAATAAATACATAAAAAGTACACATCATGAGGACCTCTACCATTCCAACTCCATAGGAAATAGTGAACTTGCTTATGCACCAAACACATTGCTACTAAAGCCAGCATATGTGAGAGCCAACATACAAAGATTTTCTATAATGATGAAACTCTTACAGACTCTTCTTCAGTGAAAAAACCAAGAACCACATTAGACTATAATTATCTACAAGCATTACAATCTCATTCTTAAAGAAAAAAATTTAAAAACAAACAAAATAAGCACAGTAAAATAAAACATACATTCAAGAATAATTAGAAGAAATAGTCTATCCACATGAGAAGAAACCAGAAAAATAACTCTGGTAAAATGACAAAACAGAGTGCTATAACTCCCACAAAAAATTACACTAGCTCTCCAGCAATGGACTCAAACCAAGAGGAAATCTTTGAAATATCAGATAAGAAATTCAGAAGGTAAATTATGAAGCTACTACAGGAGATATCAGAGAAAGATGAAAACTATCATAAAGAATTTTAAAAAGTAATTCAGGGTATAAATGAAAAATTTTCTGGAAAGATAGATATCATTGAGAAAATTCAATAAAAACTTCTGGAAATAAAAGATACACTGAGGACACACTAAGTCCACTGTTAAAATGGATTTAGCCATACACTGAGGGAACTACAAAATGCAGTGGAAAGTTTTAAAAAATATACTAGAACAAGTAGAAGAAAGAAATTTAGAGCTTGAAGAAAAGGTTTTGAAATAACCTAATCAAACAAATATGACAAAAAATAAAAAGAAATGAACAAAATCACCAAGAAATATGGGATTATGTAAAATGGACAAACCTAAGAATTATTAGCATTCATGAGGGAGAAGAGAAAATAATAGGTCTGAAAAACTTATTTGAAGAAATAATTGAAAAAAAAAAAGTCCCTGTCCTGGATAAAGAATTACATATCCAAGTACAAAAATTTCAAAGAATTCCCAAAAAAAGTATTGCAGAAAGATTTTCTCCAAGGCATATAGTCATCAGGCTTTCTAAAGTCAACATGACAGAAATAATACTAAGAGCAGTAAGATAAAAGCATCAGGTAACCTACAAAGGAAACCCCATCAGATGTCAGCAGACTTCGCAGCAGAAATCTTACAAGCCAGAAGGCATTAGGGTCTTATCCTCAACTTCCTCAAATAGAACAATTATCAGCCAATAATTTTGTATCCTGTAAAACTAAGTTTCATAAATGAAGGAGAAATAAATTCACTTTGAGAAAACAAATGCTGAGGGAACTTGTCACTACCAAACCAGAACTACAAAAAATGCTTTAAAAAAGTTCTAAACCTTGAAACAATAGCACGTTATGCTATAAAATAGAATACCTTGAAGGCTTAAAACTCACAGGACCTATAAAATAACACAATAAAATAACTAGGTAGCAATTAACATGATGAAGAGAACAGCATCTCACATCTCAATATTAACATTGAATGTAAATGGCCTAAATGCTCCACAGAATGCCATCATAATAAAAAAAATTAAAATCCAAATATCTACTACCTTCAAGAGACTCACCTCATATGAAAGGATTTATATAAACTCAAGGAAAAAGGGTGAAAAAAGATTCCATGTAAATGGAAACCAAAAGCAAACATGAGTAGCTACTCTTATATCAGACAGAACAGACTTCAAAGCAACAACAATGAAAAAGACAGATATGGTTACTATATATGATAAAAGGAACAATTCAGCAAGAGGATACTGCATTTTTAAATTTAGATGCACCAAAACTGGAACTCCTAGATTCATAAAACAATTACTACTAGACCTAAGACATGAAATAGACAGCAAAACAATAATAGTGAAACTCAATACACCACTGAAAGCACTAGACAGATGTTTGAAAAAGTCAAGAGAGAAATAATGAACTTAAATGACATGCTAGAATTAATGGACTTATCAGATATTTACAGAACATTCTTCTCAACAACTGCAGAATATACATTCTTCTTATCAGTACATGGAACATTCTCCCAGATAGACAATATAATAGACCATGAAACAAGTCTTAATAACTTAAAAAAATCAATATCATATCAAGCATCTTCTCAGACCACAGCAGAATAAAACTAGAAATCAACTCCAAAAGGAACTCTCAAAACTATACAAATTCATAGAAATTAAATAATCTGGTCCTGAATAATATCTGGGTTAACAATAAAATTGTAATGAAAATTTAAAAAAAAATTTTGAATTGAATAATAATGACAGTTGTTATCAAAACCTCTGGGATACAGCAAAATAATTACTAAGAGAGAAGTTTATAGCACTAAATGCCTACATCAAAAAGTCTGAAAAAGCACAAATTGAAACCTAATGTCATACTTCAAGGAACTATATAAACAAGAACAAACTAGACTTAAAACTAGAATAAGGAAAGAAATAAAGATCAGAACAGAACTAAATAAAATTCAAACAAAAATTGCAAAAGATCGATAAAACGAAAATCTGGTTCTTTGAAAAAATAAACAAAATTGGTAGACTATTAGCTAGATTAACCAAGAAGAGAGAAGATGCAAATAAGCTAAATTAGAAATAAAACTGAAGACATTAAAACTCACACCACAGAAAGACAAAGGATCGTTCAAGACTACTATGAACACCTTTATGCAAACAAACTAGTAAATCTAGCATATATACACCATGGAATACTATACAGCCATAAAAATAATGAGTTCATGTCCTTTGCAGGGACATGGATGAGGCTGGAAGCCATCATTCTCAGCAAACTAACACAGGAAGAGAAAGCCAAACACCATATAATCTCGCTCATAAGTGGGAGTTGAACACTGAGAACACATGGACACAGGGAGAAGAACATCACACACCAGGGCCTGTTGGGGGTTGGCGGTCAAGGGGAGGGAGAGCATTAGGACAAATACCTAAAGCATGTGGGGCTTAAAACCTACATGATGGATTGATAGGTGCAGCAAACCACCATGGCACATGTATACCTATGTAACAAACCTGCACATTCAGCACTTATATCCCAGAACCTAAAATAAAATTTATAAAGATGAATACATTCCTGGATTAAATTAGGAAGAAATAGAAACCTTGAACAGACCAATAACAAGCATTGAGATCGAATCAGTAATTTAAAATTGCCAACAACCAAAAGGCCCAGGACTGGATAAATTCATGGTGGCATTCCACCAGACATTCAAAGATGTCTTGGCACCAAACCTCCTGAAAGTATTCCTAAAGATTGAGAAAGAAGGAATCCTTCCTAAATTATTCCATGAAGGTAGTATCACTCTGATACCAAACCAGAAAAGGACACAACAAAAAAGAAAACTACAGACCAATTTTCCTGGTGAACATAGGTGCAAAAATCTTCAACAAAATACTAGCCAATTGAATTCAATAGCACATCAAAAAGATAATTCATTATGATCAAGTGGGTTTTATCCCTAGGATGTACGGATGTTTTAATGTGTTCAAGTAATAAATGTGATACAAACATATAAACAGGAGTAAAACCAAAAACCATATGATCATCTCAATAGATGCAGAAAAGCATTCAACAAAACCCAGCACCCCTTTATAATAAAATCTCTCAAGTAACTAGGATAGAAGAGACCTACATGAAAGTAATAAAAGCCATATATGACAAACCCACAATCAACATTATACTGAATGGGGAAAAGTTGAAAGCATTCCCCCTGACAATAGGAACAAGGCAAAGATGTCCACTTTCTCCACACCTATTCAACATAGTTTGGGAAGTACAATAAGCCAGACCAATTAGGCAAGCAATAAAAAATTAACGGCATCAAAATTGGAAGAGAGGAAGTCAAACCATTACTATTTGCAGATAATATGATTGCATACCTAGAAAATCCTAAATACTCCTGCAAAAGACTCTTATATTTGATAAACAAACTCAGTAGTTTCCGGTTACAAAATCAATGTAAACAAATTAGTAACACTGCTATATACCAACAAAGACCAAGCTGAGAAACAACCCAAGAATTCAATCCCCTTTACAACAGCTGCACAAAAATAAAATACCTAGCAATATACATAACCAAAGAAGTAGAAGATTTCTAAAAGGAGAACTACAAAACACTGCTGAAAGAAATCACAGATGACACAAACAAATGAAAACACAGCCCATGTTCATGGATTGGAAGAATCAATATTGTGAAAATGATCACACTGCCCAAAACAATCTCCAGATTCAATGTAATTGCCATCAAAATACCGTCATTTTTCAGATAATTAGAAAGGAAATTCCTAAAATTCGTATGGAACTAAAAAAGAGCCCAGATAGCCAAAGCAATCTTAAGCAAAAAGAACAAATCTGGAGGCATGACATTACCCCACTTTAAAGTATACAACAAGGCTATAGTTACCAAAACAACATGGTACTAGTATAAAAGTAGGCACATAGAGCAATGGAACAGAATAGAGAACCCAGAAATAAAGCTGAATATATGCAGACAACTGATCTTTAACAAAGTAAACAAAAACATAAATTGGGGAATGGACACCCTATTTAATAAATGGTGCTGGGAAAACTGGCAAGCCACATGTAGAAGAATGAAACTGAATCCTTATCTCTCACCATATAAAAAACCAGCTCAAGATGGATCAAATACTTTAATATAAGACCTGAAACTAAAAAAACTCTAGAAATGAAGGTTGAAAAACCTCTTCTAGACATCAGCCTAGGCAAATAATTCATAACTTAGACCCTAAAAGCAAATGCAACACAAACAAAAATAAATGAATGAGACCTAATTAAACTAAAAAGCTTCTTTCTGCGCAGTAAAAGAAGTAATCAACAGAGTAAACAGACAACCTGCAGAATGGAAGAAAATTTTTGCAAACTATGCATCTGACAAAGGACTAGTATCCAGAATCTGCAAAAATTTAAACAAATCACCAAGAAAAAAAAATAATCCCATTAAAAAAGTGGTCAAAGGACATAAACAGACATTTATCAAAAGAAGGTATACAAATGCCCAACAAACCTATGAAAAAATGCTACTAATCATCAGAGAAATGCAAATTAAAACTACAATGAGACAGATACCACCTTACTCCTGCAAGAATTACCATTATTAAAAAGTCAAAAAACAATAGATGTTGGTGTGGATGTGGGGAGAAGGGAATGCTTATACACTGCTTGTGGGAATGTAAATTAGTACAGCCTGTATGGAAAACAGTATGGAGATTCCTTAAAGAGCTGAAAGTATATCTACCATCCAACCCAGCAATCCCAATACTGGGAATCCACCCTACAGAAAATAAGATTATTATATGAAAAAGACACAGGCAAACATATGTTTATAGCAGTACAATTTATAATTGCAAAGATGTGGAACCAACCTTAGTGTCCATCAACAAATGAATGAAAAAAGAAAATGTGGCATATATGCACCATATACTACTACTCAGCCATTAAAAGGAATGACATAATGTCCTTTGTAGCAACTTGAATGGAGCTAAAGGTGATTGTTCTAAGTGAAGTAACACAGGAGTAGAAAATCAAAAAGTATTTGTTCTCACTTATAAGTGGAGGTAAGCTATAAGTATTCAAATGCATACAGAATGATATAATGAATTTTGGAGACCTAGAAGTGGGGAAAGGTGTAAAGGGGACTAGGGGCAAAAAAAAACTACATATTAGATACTTGGGTGAAGGATACACTACAATGTCAGAATTCACCACTATATAATTCATTCATGTAACAAAAAGCCACTTGCACCCCAAAAGTTATTGAAATAAAAACCAGAAAGTAGAAAAATAAAAAATAAATACAATTGTTAAAAAAGCCTATATGGCAGATAATTATTCTTGCTGAATTTATGCAAATATTTAGGCAAAGCATAATATGACCAACACTTATTTTACAAGTAAATCTGTTCCATGATATGTCTTTAGTGAAAACGGGGCTCAAAGAGAGAAAAATTATATTTCAAAATAAAAAATAGTAACACCTATCAGATTTTATTCTTGCCCTTTTTTATTTTTGTTATTTTCTACAGTTTAGACTGAATTCTAAAATTTTCCTGTCTATGTCTCCAAAAATAATGTTTTCAATTTTTTCCTTCTTTCCTTTATTTCCACCATTTTTTTATTTAAAATAACAAAAAAATAAATTGTACTTTCATAGCATTCTGTGAACTGAAACTAGACTACTTAAACTTCAGAAGAAAATAACAGCAACCTATTAACATAGACAAACCACCTTCCTACCTTCCTACTAATGTATAAACTTCAGAGTAATATGGCCTATATTGATTTTTTGAGGTTGTTCAAGGTGTTGTTCAAACAACATCTTTGTTTGTTTGTTAGGATTTTTCTCTTCCTTTCTCTATTTTCTCTTTGTAGGATGTGAGACTTCACAACTTGTGAAAAAAATGAGCTTTCCTAATAATATGGGACCTATTCCTCTAGGAATAAAGCATCCTAGCCATGAGAGATCAGAAAAATCCTGAGACCAGAGAATCACTTTTTTTTCTAAAAATTTTTCTCTGAAAGATTTTAAGAAAAAAAGAGAGGGAATGTGAAAGAAAAATAATTCTCAGGACCCCTAAATCACTAAGCCAAAGGGAAAAGTCAAGCTTGGAACTGTGTTAGGCAAATATCCCTCCCATTTTATTCCTAAATAAGATAGCTGCAAACATTTTAAAAAGCTACATAACTCCTTCACTGTCCACAAGGGAGTTTTTGTGGGCCTCAAGATCTTTACCCGAAAACAGTTTTGTTGAATTTCACCCTGGCAATGTAGATTGTTAGCTTATCTTCACAGGTGCAGAACAAAGGACAGACAGAACTCAGTCACCCCTCTGCTTACCTGAGACAAAGGCGTATCTGATTGCTTCCTCTGCACTGCTATTTATGTAAAAATACAACAGATTCATTAAGCCAATCTAAGGCCTAAGTGACTATTCCTCTACCCCCATCACATGTAAATGTAAATTGTGTTTTCAATAAGTGTCTCATTACAGACCCAAAGAATAGAACCCTTTGTCTCATATCTACCTATGACCTGAAAGGCCCCTGCTTTGAGTTGTCCTGCATTTCCAGACTGAACCAATGTACATCTTACAGATATTGATTGATATTTCATGTCTACCTAAAATGTATATAACCAAGCTGTGCTCTGACCACCTTGGGCACATGTCATCAGGACTTCCTAAGGCTGTCTCATGGGTGCATCCTTGATCTTGGCAAAATAAACTTTCTAAATTGACTGAGACTTGTCTTAGATACTTTTACATTCACATATGCATGTCCTGGTGCTGTGCTGGTCTCAGTGGCAGTGAGTTCCTGATGTGATCCCACACTGCATCAGCAACCATGAGGTTGTCCACATCACCACTCCCCCAAGCACAGGCAGCACAACACGGAGAGAGACACCATTTGCTTGAGAAAGAATAAGAAGGTGAATGTGGGACTTTGCCTTGTAACCCAGTACTGGGCCTGCCACAGTGAAACCTATCACTGGGCAGAACCTCATATCTCACTAGGATGGTACCTGTGAGCAGACCCTCTAGATCTACTCCAGCACCAGAAAGAAACCCATAGCTTTAACAAGATGCACTAAGGATCCATTTCATCACCAGCTGACTACAACAAACTTGAGCCTAGCATAAACCCCAGCAGTGGGAAGACTGTAGCAGTTACAGGCCTTGGGCATACCCCAGTGCTCCACTGGTCTTGGCAGCTGGGGGCTTTAGAGGAAATTTAGTGCTGTGTCTACCTTGATAGCCAAAGGAGTCTAACTGTGGCTCTCCTGGGTTTATGGGGCCCCTTAACACCTCAACAGCTAAAGTGGTAATGGGCTTACAGACCTAACCAGTAAACTTCACTGAATCTCTGGACAGGCTTACTGCTGAAGGATGTTCCCAAACAAAGACGGACTGCACAGACTAAATTAGGTATCTGAAACAATTTGCAGACATGAATGCATGGCCACAATAATTAAGATCAATCAGGAGAACATGACATCCCCAAACAGAGAAGATGCCAGTGACTGACACTAAAAAGAAGACAATGAAAGAACAGTTTGAAATAGAATTCAAAATAGCTGTTTTAAGAAAGCTCAGCTAACATTAATAAAATACAGAGAAACAATTGAGAAATTTATGAGAAAAATATAACAGAGATTGAAATAATAAAAAATCAAACAAATTCTGGAGCTGAAAAATACCATAAATTTAAATGTAAATGCCATAGAGAGCAACAACAGCAGAACTGATTAATCAGAAAAAAGAATCTGTGAACTCAAAGACAGGCTTATTGAAAATATACAGTCAGATTAAAAGAAATAATTAAAAGAAATAAAGAAAGCTTGAGGAATTAGTGGAACAAAATCAAAGAATCAAGTAAATGGGTCACTATGCTTAAGAAGTAGAGAAAGGCAAAAGGGTACATAGCATATTTGAAGAAATAATAACAGAAAAATTTTAAAACCTGTAGAAATACATAAATATCTAGGTACAGAAAGGTTGAAAGTCTCCAATCAGATTTAATTTTAATAAGACTACTTGCAACATATTATAATCAAAATGCCAAATATCAAAGACAAAGAAAGGATCCTAAAATCAGCAAGAGAAAAGGAGCAAATAACACAAAAGAGAGTCCCATCATGCCTAGCAGAAGACTTCTCAGCAGAGTCCATTTTCTCCCCAAGAGGGAGTGGGATAATATATTCAAAGTGGTAACAACAACAACAATCCTGTCAAGTAGTAACGCTATACCCAGCAAAATTTTTTTTCAGAAAAAAGCAAACATACTTTTCCACACAAACAAAAGTCAAAGTAATTTAATACCACCGACTGTCTTAGAAGAAATTCTAAATGGTGTTTATCAAGATAAAAGTAGAGGACACTAACGTGCAGCACAAAAATATCAGAAAGTATATAACTGGTACATCATCAAATTCTGAATACTCTAAAACAATAATTATGACAACAACTTGTTAATGAAGGTTTGATATAAAAATTTAAATTGTGACCTAAAAAGTTCAAACTGGGGGGAGTGGTGTTAAAGTGGAGTTTTTCTCCTTTATTTTGTTACCAAAGTTTAGGTTTTTCGTTTAAAATAAACTGTTATAACTAATAAGATGCTTTTGGTAAGCCGTGGTGAACACAAAGTGAAAATGTATAAGAGATACACTAAAAATAAAAAGCAAGAAATCAAAGCATACTGCTAGGAAAATGACTTAACCACAAAGAAAGCCATTAATCGAGAAAAAAGGCAACAAAGGTTCTACAAAACAACTAGAAAACAATCACAAAAATGGTAGTAATAAGTCCACATGTATCAATAATTAATTTGAATGCAAATGGTTTGAATTATTCAATCAAAAGATGTAGGGTAATTGAATCAATAAAAGACAAGGTACAACTATATGCTGCCTATAAGAGACTATCTTCACCTGTAAGGACACCCATAGAATAAAAGTAAACAGATGAATAAAGGTATTCTATGCAAATGAAAATCAAAAAAGAGCAGGTTTAGCTCTACTTATGTCAGATAAAATATATCTTAAATCAAGGGCTGTAAAAGAGACGAAAAATTTATTATGTAATCAAATGGGTCAATTCAGCAAGAAGTTATGATAATCATAGATATACACACACCTAATATTGGAGCACCTAAATGTATAAAACAAATATTAATAGATCTAAAAGGAGAGAGACACTGCAATACAACAATAGTAGGGAACTTCAACACCCCACCTTCATCAGTGGGCAGATCATCTACACAGAAAATCAAAATGAATCAAGGGAATTAAACTGCAATATAGACCAAATGAATTTGACATATCCAGAACATTCCATTGAAAAGATGATGAATACACATTATTCTCAACTGCACATGAAACATTTTGCAGGACAGCTTATATGTTATACCACAAAACCAGTCTTAAAAAATTTATGATAAAAATAAATCGAGTATTTTTTATCACAGTGGTATAAAACTAAACAGGAGAAACAGCAGAAACTATGAATACATAAAAATTAAACAACATGCCAATAAACAAACAGTGGGTCAATGTAGAAATTTTAAAATAACTTTTAAAATTGTTGAGACAAATGAAAAGGAAAGCACAACATACTAAATTAGATAAGACACAGTAAAAGCAGTTCTAAGAGGAAAGTTTATAGCAATAAACATTCGGAAGTTTTGATTACTGATTTGATCTCCTTACTTGTTAATTAGTCTGCTCAGATTTTATTTCTTTGAGGTTTAATCTTGGTAAGTGGTATGCTTCTGGGAATTTATCCATGTCTTCTAAATTTTCCAACTTTTAATGTATAATTATTTATACATTACCCTGTTATAATTCTTTGCATTTCTGTGGTATGAGCTGTAATGTCTCCTCCTTCACTTTAATTTTATTTGAGTCTTCCCTCTTTTTCAAATTCCAGCTTAAGGTTCATCAATTTTATCTTTTCAAAAAGCCAACTTATAGTTTTGTTTTTCCTTTTCTATTTTTTTTCTAGCTTCTCTTTCATTTGTTTCTGCTCTATTCTTTGTTATATTCTTTCTTCTAGTACCTGTGGGCTTAGTTTTATTTTATTTTATTTTATTTTCTTGCTGGTCCGCCACTTATTTTTCATGTTGATTTTCATATCCTGCAACTTTACTAAATTCATTTATTACTTCTAATATTCTTTATGAAGTCTTCAGGTTTTTCTATAAAGGAGTTCGGGTTTTCAAGAAACAGAGACAATTTTACATTTCCATTTTCAATTTGGATTCCCTTTCTTTATACTTCTTCTCTTACTGCTCTGGCTAGGGCGTTCAGTGCTACATTGAATAGAAGTGGCCAGATTAGGCATCCTTCTCTTATTCCTGATCTTAGAAGAGAAGTTTTGAGCTTTAATGATTGAGGATAGTGTTAACTATAGACTTAATAAATATATGGCATTTATTATATTGAGGATTATTATTTCTATGCCTAATTTGTTGAAAATGTTTTTATGAAAGAAATTTCAATTTTGTAACCTGCTTTTTCTGCATATATCGAGATTATCATATAATTTTTATTTTTCATTCAGTCAATCAGATGTATCACATTAATTTATTTGCATATGTTAAAGCACATTTGCATCCCAGGGACAATTCCCACTTTATCATGGAGTATTATCTTATGAATGTGCCATTAAATTCACTTTACTAATAATTTCTTTAGGATTTTTTAATCTATTTTTTATCAATAATATTGGCGTGTCATTTCCTTTTTATATCATATTCTTTCCTGGCTTTAATATGGAAAATGCTGGCCTTGTGAAATGAGTTTGGAAGTGTTCCCTCCTCTTTAGTGTTTTGAAAGAGTTTGAGAAAAATTGGCATTAACTTGTACTGAAATGTTTGGTAGAATTCACCAATAAAGCCATTTGGCATATCCTTTGATCTGAGGTTTCTGATTACTCATTCAATATCCTTTCTCATTACTTTTCTGATAAGATTTTCTATATTTCAATGATTCATTTTTGTAAGTCGTGTGTTTCTAGGAATTCATCTATTTCTTCTATGTTATTTAATTTTTTATCATATAATTGTAGTCTCCTGTGATTGTCTGGATTTCTGTAGCCTCAGTGGTAATGTGTCATTTTTCAATTGTAATTTTATGTATTTGAGTTTTCCCTCTTATTTTTTGTTAGTGTAGCTAAATATTCATCCATTTTGTTTATATTTTCAGAGAACAGTTTTTTTATTGTTTCAGTAGTCTCATTTATTCCTGCTGTGTTCTTTTTCTCTTTTTTAAAAAAAGTTATGTTAAGTTCCAGGATACATATGCAAGACATGCAGGTTTGTTACATAGGTAAGCATGTGCCATGGTGGTTTGCTGCACCTACCAATCCATCACCTAGGCATTAAGCCCCTGCATGCATTAGCTATTTATCCTGATGCTCTCCCTTCTCCCATTTCCCCCAACAGGCATCAGTGTGTGTTGTTCCCTTCCTGTGTCCATGTGTTCTCACTATTCAGCTCTCACTTATAAGTAAGAACATGCGATGTTTGGTTTTCTGTTCCTATGTTAGTTTGCTGAGGATAATGGCTTCCAGCTCCATCCATGCCTCTGCAAAGGACATGATCTTGTTCCTTTTTATGGATGCAGAGTATTCCATGGTATATATATATCACATTTTCTTTATCCAGTCTATCATTGATGGACATTTGGGTTGATTCCATGTCTTTGCTATTGTGAATAGTGCTGCAGTGAACATATGCATGCATGTATCTTTATAATAGAATGATTTATATTCCTTTTGGTACATACGCATTAATGGGATTGCTGAGTCAAATGATATTTCTGGTTCTGGGTCTTTGAGGAATCACCACACTGTCTTCCACAATGGTTGAACAAATTTATATTGCCACCAACAGGGTAAAAGCATTCCTATTTTTCCACATCTGCTGTGTTCTTTAAGTATCATCACTTCTGCTGACTTTCAGCTTATTTCATTATTTTTTTTCTAGTCCACTGAGGTATAAACGTAGGTTATTTGAGATATTCCTTTTTTTCTTCTTAATGTAGCTATTTATTGCTTTGAACATTCCTTTTAGAACTGCTTCTGCTGTATCTATAAGTTGTGTTATGTTTTGCTTCCATTTTTGTTTTTCTAATATATTTTTGTTTTCCTTTTGATTTCTGTGATCCATTGGTTGTTCAACATTATGTTGCTAAATTTTCACATATTTATGAATTTTCTAATTTCTATTTCATTACTGATTTCCAGTTTCATAGTATTGTAACTGGAAGAGATATGTGATATTTTATCAGTATTTGAAATTTGGAAAGACTTGATTTGTGTCCTAATATATGGTCTGTTCTGAGAACGGCGTCATGCATACTTGAGAAAGTTATGTGTTCTTTTGCCACTAGATGGAATGCTTTGCATATTTCTGTAGGGTGTGTTTGGTGTATTGTGTTGTTCGAGTTCATTATTTCTTCATTGATTTTCTTTCCAGATGATTATCTTTAGTTGAATTTAGGGATATCAATGTCTTATATTATTAGTTATTATTATTTTAATAATTTTACCTTTTACCTTAGATTCATGGGGGTATATGTACAGGTTTGTTACATGGATATATCATGTGATGCTGAAGTTTGGAGTATGATTGACACTGTCACCCAAATAATGATCATAGTACACAATAGTTTTTTAACCCTTACCGTCCCTTTTAGTAGTCTCCAGTATCTATTGTTGCCATCTTCATGTCCATGGGTACCCAATGTTTAGCTCTCACTTATTAGTGAGAACATGCAATATTTGGTTTTCTGTTTCTGTGATAATTTGCTTAGAATAATGGCCCCCAGCTGCATCCATGTTGTTCCAAAGGGTATGCTTCTGTTCTTTATTATGACTGCATAGTATTTCAAGATTTATATGTACCACATTTCCTTTACCAATCCCTCATTGATTGGCACCTTGGTTGATTACATGTCTTTGCTATTGTGAATAGTGCTGCAACAAACTTATAAGTGCATGTGTCTTTTTGGTAGAACGGTTTATTTTGTTTTGGATATATACTCAGTAATGAGATTGCTGGGTCAAATGGTAGTTTTGTTTCGGGTTCCTTCAGAAATCTCTAAACTGCTTTCCACACTTGCTGGACTAATTTACATTTGCACCAGTGTGTAAGTGATCCCCCTTTTATTTTTTTGCAACCTAGCCAACATATGCTATTTTGAAATGTTTAATCATAGGCATTCTGATTGGTGTGAAATGGTAACTCATTGTGGTTTTGACTTGCATTTCTCTAATGATTAGTAATGTTGGGCATTTTTTGTATGTTTGTTGGCCACTTGTATGTTTTCCTTTTTGCCCACTTTAATTGGTGTTATTTGTTTATTGCTTGCTAAATTAACTTTCTTATAGATTCTGGATATTTGATATTTGTTGGATGCATAGTTTGTGAATATTTTATCCTTTTCTGTAAGTTGTCTGTGTATTCTGTTGATAGTTTCTTTTGCTGTGCAAAAGTTCTTTAGTATAATTGGGTCTTATTTGTCAATTTTTATTTCTATTGCAATTGCTTTTGAGTACTTAGTCATAAATTATTTGCCAAGGCTGATGTCCAGAATGGTATTTCTTAGATTTTCTTCTAGGATTTTTAGGTCTTACATTTAAGACTTAAATCTGTCTTGAGTTAATTTTTGTACATGGTGAGAAGTAGTGATCCAGTTTTATTCTTCTTCATATGGTTAGCCAGCTATCTCAGCACTATTTATTGAATAGGTAGGTAGTCCTCTTCTTATTGCCTTGCTGTAGGTGTGCAGCTTTATTCCTGGGGTCTGTATTTTGTTCCATTGGTCTATGTTTCTTTTTTGTACAAGTACCATGCTGTTTTGGTTACTGTGGTCTTACGGTATAGTTTGAGGTTGAGTAATGTGATGTCTCTGGTTTTGTTCTTTTTTGCCTAGTATTGCTTTGGCCATTTGGGCTCTTTTTGTTTCCTTATTAATTTTAAAATGTTCTTTTTTTTGTCAAAAATGACCTTAGAAGCTTGGTAGGAAGAGTGTTAAATCTGTATACTGCTTTGGGCAGTATGGTCATTTTAACAAGATTAAGTCTTCCAATCCACGGGCATGCAATGTTTTTTGATTTTTTGTGTGTGTCATCTATGATATGTTTCAGCAGTATTTTGAAGTTCTTGTAGAGATCTTTTACCTCTCTGGTTAGATGTATTCCTAGCTGTTTAAATTTTTGTGCCTAATGTAAATGGAGACTCATTCTTTATTTGGCTGTCAGCTAGAAAGTAACTGGTATATAGAACTGCTACTGATTTTCATACATTTATTTTATATACTTAAGTTTTATTTAAGTGGTTTATCAATTTGAGGAGCCTTTTTGCGTAGCCTTTAGGATTTTCTAGGTATAGAATCATATCAGCAGTCAAGAGAGATAGTTTAAAATCTTCTATTTAGTTGCCTTTTATTTCTTTCTCTTTCCTGATTTCTCTTGTTTGGACTTTCAGTACTGTGTAGAATAAGAGTAGTGACAGTGAGCATACTTTTCTTCTTCCATTTATTAAGGGGAATATGTCCAATATTTGCCCATTCAATATGAGAGTGCATGTAGGTTGTGACAAATGACTCATGATTTTGTGGTATGTTTCTTTGATGGCTAGTTCACTGAGGGGTTTCATCTTGAATAGATGTATTTTATCAAAAGTTTCTTGGGT
This sequence comes from Homo sapiens, assembly GCF_000001405.40. Lineage (NCBI taxonomy): Eukaryota > Metazoa > Chordata > Mammalia > Primates > Hominidae > Homo > Homo sapiens. The sequence continues at coordinate 79,480,208 of NC_000023.11, forward strand.
CTATTGAGATGATTATATTTTTAAAAAATTCTGTTTATGTGGCGAATCAAATTTATTGATTTGAATATGTTGAAGCAACCCTACATCCCAGGAATAAAATCCACTCAATCATGATGAATTGACTTTTTAATGTGCTGCTGGATTCAGTTTGCTAGTATTTTATTCAGGACTTTTGTGTCTATGTTTATCAGAGATACTGGCCTGCAGTTTCTTTTTTTCTTGTGTCTTTGCCAGAGACTGGTATCAAAATGAGGCTAGCTTTGTAGAATGAGAGAGATTAGTTCCTCCTTTTCAATTTTTTTGGTATAGTTTTAGTAGAATTAGTACTAGTTCTTCTTTGCATGTCTGGTAGAATTTGACTGTGAATCCATGTGGTCCAGAGCTCCTTTTAGTTTATAGGTTTTGTATGACGTATTCAATTTTGAATTTCCATAATAGCCTGTACAAGGTTTCCATTTATTCCTGATTCTGTCTTCAGCAGTTTTATTTTTCCCAAGAACTTACGCATTTCTCTATATTTTCAAGTTTGTTTGCACAGAAGTGTTAATAATAGTCTCTGAGGGTCTTTTTTATTTCTGTGGGGTTGATTGCAGTGTCACCTTTTTCGTAGCTAATTGCATTTATTTTTATCTTCTTTTTGTTGTTAATCTAGCTATTGTTAATGGTATTTCAATCTTGTTTATCCTTTCAGAGAATCAGTTTTTTGCTTAATTGATCCTTTGCATGGATTTTCTGAATTTCATTCAGTTCTTCTCTGATTATAGTTATTTATTTTCTTCTGTTAGCTTTGGGGTTACTTTGTTCTTGTTTTTGTATTTCCTTTAAGGTGCAATGTCAGACTATTAATTTCAGATCTTTCTAACTTCTTGATGTTGTGTTTAGCTTTCATCTTACTGCTGTTTTTGGTACATTGTTTCTCTCTTTTCTTTTATTTCAATTTTTTAAATTTCTGCCTTAATTTTGTTGTTTACACAAAAGTCATTCACAAGCAAATTGTTTAATTTCCATGTAACTGTGTGTTTTGAGAGCTCTTCTTGGTAATGACTTGTAGTTTTATTCCACTGTAGTCCAAAAGTATGGTTGGTTTGATTTCAATATTTTTGAACTTATTGAGACATGCTTTATGGCAGAGTATGTTCTGTGTGCAGATAAGAAGAATGTGTATACTCTGATTGATGGATGGAGTTTTCTATAGGTGTCTATTAGTTCCAATAGTTCACATGTAAAATATAAGTTGATAATTTATTCATTAGTTTTCTGCCTTGATGATCTATCTAATACTGTCACTGGGATGTTAAAATTTTCCATTATTATTGCATGACTGCCTAAGTATTTTTGTAGATTTAAAAGTACTTGTTTTATTAATGTGGATGCTTGAATGTTGGGTATGAATATATTTAGTAGAATTAAATCATCCTGTAAATTGGACCCATTATCATTATGTAACATCCTTCTTTGCACACTTTTACTGTTGTTTATTTAAAAATCAGTTTTGGAGGTGGCTGGCAAGATGGCTGAATAGGAACAGCTCTGGTATGCAGCTCCCACCTCAATGCAGAAGACAGGTGATTTCTGCATTTCCAACTGAAGTACCAGGCTCATCTCATTGGTACTGGTTAGACAGTGGGTGCAGCCCACAGAGGGTGAGCTGAAGCAGAGTGGGCATTGCCTCAGCCCAAAAGTGCAAGGGTTTGGGGAACTCCCTACCTGAGCCAAGGAAAACCATGAGGGACTGTGCAGCGAGGAATGGTGCACTCTGGCCCAAATACTAGGCTTTTCCCATGGTCTTCACAACGCGCAGACCAGGAGATTCCCTCGGGTGCCTATGACACCAGGGTCCTGGGTTTCAAGCACAAAACTGGGTGGCAGTTTGGGCAGACAATGAGCTAGCTGCAAGAGTTTTTTTTTTTTTTTTTTTTCATACCCCAGTGGTGCCTGGAATGCCAGCTAGACAGAACCATTTACTCCCCTAGAAAGGAGGCTGAAGCCAGGGATCCAAGTGGTCTAACTCAGCAGATCCCACCCACCTTGGAACCCAACAAGTTAAGATCCACTGGCTTGTAATTCTTGCTGCCAGCACAGCAGTCTGAAGTCAACCTGGGATGCTTGAGTTTGGTGCAGGGAAGGGTGTACACCATTACTGAGGCTTGAATAGGCGGTTTCCCCTTACAGTGTAAACAAAGCCCCTGGGAAGTCTGAACTGGGTGCAGCCCACCACAGCTCTGCAAAGCCACTTTAGCCAGACTGGCTCTCTATATTCCTCCTCTCTGGGCAGGGCATCTCTGAAAGAAAGGCAGCAGCCCCAGTCAGGTGCTATAGATAAAACTCCCATCTCTCTGGGAGAGAGCACCTAAGGGAAGGGGTGGCTGTGGGTGCAGCTTCAGCAGACTTAAACATTGCTGCCTGTTGGCTCTGAAGAGAGCCACCTTCTGAAGCCTACTACTGTCAATTCATCAAACTCTTTCTCCATCCAGTTTTGTTCCCTTGCTTGCGAGGAGTTGTGATCCTTGTGTCTCTTAGTGCTGGAGCTCTACTAAGGGACAGACTATCTCTTTAACTGGGTCCCTGATCCCCATGCCTCCTGACTGGGAGACACCTCCCTGCAAGGGTCAACAGACACCTTATACAGGAGAGCGCCGCCGGCATCTGGCGGGTGCGCCTCTTGGACAAAGCTTCCAGAGGAAGGTACAGGCAGCAATCTTTGCTGTTCTGCAGCCTCTCCTGGTGATACAAACAGGGTCTAGAGTGGACCTCCAGCAAATTCCAACAGACCTGCAGCAGAGAGGCCTGATTGTCAGAAGAAAAACTAACAAACAGAAAGGAATAGCATAAACATCCACAAAAAGTATGTCTACACCGAAACCCCATCTGAAGGTCACCAGCATGAATGACCAAAAGTAGATAAGTCCACAAACATGAGGGAAAACCAGCGTAAAAAGGCTGAAAATTCCAAAAACCAGAATGCCCCTTCTCCTACAAAGGATCACAACTCCTCACCAGCAAGGGAACAAAACTGGATGGAGAAAGAGTTTGACGAATTGACTGAAGTAGGCTTCAGAAGGTGGGTAATAACAATCTCCTCCGAGCTAAAGGAGCATGTTCTAACCCAATGAAAGGAAGCTAAGAACCTTGAAAAAAGGTTAAAGGAATTGCTACCTAGAATAACCAGCTTAGAGAAGAACATAAATGACCTGATGGAGCTAAAAAACAGCATGAGAACTTTGTGAAGTGTACACAAGTATCAATAGCCGAATCAATCAAACAGAAGAAAGGATGTCAGAGATTGAATATCAACTTAATGAAACAAAGTGTGAAGACAAGATTAGAGAAAAAAGAATGAAAAACAAAGTCTCCAAGAAATATGGGACTATGTGAAAAGAACAAACCTACGTTTGATTGGTATGTCTGAAAGTGACAGGGAGAATGGAATCAAGTTGGAAAACAGTCTTAAGGATATTATCCAGGAGATCTCCCCCAAACCTATCAAGACAGGCCAACATTCAAATTCAGAAAATACAGAGAACGTCACAAAGATAACCCTAGAGAAGAACAACTCCAAGACACATAATTCTCAGATTCACCAAAGTTGAAATGAAGGAAAAAATGTTAAGGGCAGCCAGAGAGAAAGGTCGGGTTACCCACAAAGGGAAGCCCATCAGACTAACAGTGGATCTCTCTGCAGAAACCCTGCAAGCCAGGACAGAGTAGGGGACAATATTCAACTTTCCTAAAGAAAAGAATTTTCAACCCACAATTTTATATCCAGCCAAACCAAGCTTCATAAGAGAAAGAGAAATAAAATCCTTTACAGACAAGCAAATGCTGAGGGATTTTGTCACTGCCAGACCTGCCTTACAAGAGCTCTGGAAGGAAGCACTAAATATGGAAAGTAGAAACCAGAATGAGCCACTGCAAAAACATACCAAATTGTAAAGACCATCAACACTATGAAGAAACTGCATCAACTAATAGAAAAATAACCAGCTAGCACCATAACAACAGGATCAAATTCACACACAGCAATGTTAACCTTAAATGTAAATGGGCTAAATGCCCCAATTAAAAGAGACAGACTGGCAAATTGGATAAAGGGTCACTCTTCAGTGTGCTGTATTCAGGAGACCCATCTCACATGCAAAGACACACATGGGCTCAAAATAATAAGATGGAGGAAGATTTATCAAGCAAGTGGAAAGTAAAAAAAGCAGGGGTTGCAATACTATTCTCTGATAAAACAGACTTTAAACCAACAAAGGTCAAAAAAGACAGAGAAGGGCGTTACATAATGGTAAAGGGATAAATGTAACAAGAAGAGCTAACTATCCTAAACATATATGCACCCAATACAGGAGCACCCAGATTCATAAAGCGAGTTCTTAGAAACCTACAAAGAGACTTAGACTCCCACAAAATAATAATGGAGGACTTTAACACCCCACTGTCAATATTAGACAGATCAATGTAACAGAAAATTAACAAGGATATTCAGGATTTGAACTCAGTTCTGGACTAACCAGACCTAATAGATATCCACAGAAGTCTCCACCTAAAATCAACAAAATGTGGATTTTTCTAAGCACCACATTGTACTTTCTAAAATTGATCACATAATTGGAAGTAAAACATAACTCAGCAAATGGAAAAGAACAGAAACCATAACAAACAGTCTCTCAGACCACAGTGCAAACAAATTAGAACTCAGGATTAAGAAATTTACTCAAAGCTGCACAACTACATGGAAACTGAACAACCTGGTCCTGAATGACTACTGGGTAAATAACGAAATTAAGGTGCAAATAAATAAGTTCTTTGACACCCATGAGAACAAAGACAAAGTGTACCAGAATCTTTGGGACACAGCTAAAGCAGTGTATAGAGGGAAATTTATAGCACTAAATGCCCACAGGAGAAAGCAGGAAAGGTCTTAAATCCATACCCTAACATCACAATTAAAAGAATTAGAGAAGCAAGAGCAAACAAATTCAAAAGCTTGCACAACACAAGAAATAACTAAGATCAGAGCATAACTGAAGGAGATAGAGACACAAATAACCCTTCAAAACATCCATGAATCCAGGAGCTGCTTTTTTAAAAAAAGATTAACAAAATAGATAGACTGCTAGCTGGGCTAATACAGAGGTAAATAGAGAAGAATCACATAGACACAATAAAAATGATAAAGGGGTATCGTCACTGATCCCACAGAAATACAAACTACCATCAGAAAATACTATAAACACCTCGACGTAAATAAACTAGAAAATCAAGAAGAAATGGATACATTCCTGGAAACATACACATTCCCAAAACTAAACCAGGAAGAAGTCGAATCCTTGAACAGACCAACAACAAGTTCTGAAATTGAGGCAGTAATTAATAGCCTACCAACCAAAAACAACCCTAGGACCAGACAGATTCACAACCGAATTCTATCAGAGGTACAAAGAGGAGCTGGTCCCATTCCTTCTGAAACTATTCCTATCAATAGAAAAAGAGGGAATCCTCCTTAACTCATTTTATGAGGCCGGCATCATCCTGATACCAAAACCTGGCAGAGACACAACTAAAAAAGAAAATTTCAGGCCAATATCCCTGATGAACATCAATGCTAAAATCCTCAATAAAATACTGGCAAAATGAATCCAGCAGCATATCAAAAAGCTTGAGTCCAGCAGTACATCAAAAAGCTTATCTACCACGAATAAGTCAGCTTCATCTCTAGGATGCAATGCTGGTTCAACATATGCAAATCAATAAATGTAATCCATCACAAAAAGAGAACCAATGACAAGAGCCACATGATTATCTCAATAGATGCAGAAAAGGCCTTTGATAAAATTCAACACCCTTCATGCTAAAAACTCTCAATAAACTAGCTATTGAAGGAACATATCGCAAAATAATAAGAGCTATTTATGACAAAACAACATCCAATATCATACTGAATGGGCAAAAGCTGGAGGCATTCCCTTTGAAAACCGGCACAAGACAAGGATGCCCTCTCTCACCACTCCCATTCAAGATAATATTGGAAATTATGGTCAGGGTAATCAGGGAAGAGAAAGAAATAAAGGATATTCAGATAGGAAGAGAGGAAGTCAAATTGTCCCTATTTGCAGATGACATGATTGTATATTTAGAAAACCCCATCATCTCAGCCCAAAATCTCCTTAAGCTGATAAGCAACTTCGGAAAAGTCTCAGGATACAAAATCAATGTGTAAAACTCACGCATTCTTATACCCCAATAATAGACAAACAGAGAGCCAAATCATGAATGAACTCCATTCCCAACTGCTACAAAGAGAATAAAATACCTAGGAATCCAACTTACGAGAGATGTGAAGGACCTCTTCAAGGAGAACTACAAACTACTGCCCAAGGAAACAAGAGAGGACACAAACAAATGGACAAACATTCCATGCTAGTGGATAGGAAGAATAAATATCATGAAAATGGCCATTCTGCCCAAGGTAATTTATAAATTCAATGCTATCCCCATCAAGCTACCATTGACTTTCTTCACAGAATTAGAAAAAACTACTTTAAATTTCATATGGAACCACAAAAGAGCCTGTATAGCCAAGACAATCCTAAGCAAAAAGAACAAAAGCTGGAGGCATCATGCTACCTGACTTCCAAGTATACTACAAGGCTACAGTAACCAAAAAGGCATGGTACTGGCATCAAATCACATATATAGACCAATGGAACAGAACAGAGGCCTCAGAAATAGTGTCCCACATCTACAACCATCTGATTTTTGAAAACCTGACAAAAACAAGCAATGGGAAAAGGATTTCCTATTTAATAAATGGTGTAGGGAAAACTGGCTAGCCATATTCAGAAAACTGAATCTGGACCCCTTCCTTATACCTTATACAAAAATTAACTCAACATAGATTTAAGAATTAAACATAAGACCTAAAACCATAAGAACCCTAGAAGAAAACCTAGGCAATACCATTCAGGACATAGGCATGGGCAAAGACTTCATGACTAAAACACCAAAAGCAATGGCAACAAAAGCCAAAATTGACAAAAAGGAACTAATTAAACTAAAGAGCTTCTGCACAGCAAAAGAATCTATCATCAGAGTGAACAGGCAACCTAGAGAACTGGAGAAAAGTTTTGCAATCTTTCCATCTGTCAAAGGGCTAACATCCAGAATCTACAAAGAACTTAAACAAATTTGCACATTGTGCACATGTACCCTAAACCTTAAAGTATAATAATAATTAAAAAAAATAGTTGTTAAAAAAAATTAGCTGGCTGTAGTGGCTCACACCTGTAATCCCAGCTACTTGGGAGGCTGAGGCAAGAGAATCGCTTGAACCTGGGAGGCAGAGGTTGCAGTGAGCTGAAATCGTGCCAATGCACTCCAGCCTGGGCAACTTCATCTCAAAAAAAAAGAAAAAAAATGAAATTTGAATGTATATGGCAGTGAATAGATCATCTCTAAGTTAGAGTATTCTGTATTTGGTTGTAATTTCTATTGTTCTGGCATATTAGATGTTGCCTCTTTAATCTGTTGTATTTTTTCATGCAAAACTGCTTCAGTATTACATCATAATAATTTGCCCAGTTTTCCCAAGGATTGAAATGAGTGCTTTATTATTCAACAACATATCTTTTCTGGGAAAATATATTATTCTTTTGCCTACTATTTTCATTGGTTAAAAAATACACGTAATGTTTTAAACAAAAAAAACTTTTTAAAATATGTTGTTTAAATTAATTTAAACTTTTAAAAGAGAAACTATAGCTGGAAAGCAAATATATAGAAATATTTTAAATATTATTAATGAAATTCAAAAACACTCAAAAAAAAAAAAGTTCAACTTGCCATAATGTGCCTTATCAAGGGAGCATCTATACAATTTACATTGTAGGTTAATATTGATATGGGAGGTTTTGATTCTATTGTGAAGTTGTTAGCTGGTTCTTTTGTAGTTTCATTTGTGTATTTGCTTTATAGGTTCTGTGAGCTATGTACGTAAGTGTGATTTTGTGTTATCAGGTATGGCTCATTTGATTACATGCTTAGAACTTCTTTAACGACCATTTGTAGAGGTGGTCTAGTGGTGATGAATTTCTTTAACAGTTGTTTGTCTGCAAAAGATTTTATTTATCTTTGATTTATAAACCTTTGTGTGGTGGGATATAAAATTATTGGTTGGAATTTATTTTTTTAATTTTTAATATTTTAACTGTTATTTTAGTTTAAGGGCTACATGTGCAGGTTTGTTGCATAGGTAAACTCATGACTCAGGTTTTGTGTACAGATAATTTTATCACCCAGGTACTAAAGCATAGTACCAGTTTCTTTTTTTTCTGAACCTCTCCATCCTCTCACCCTTCTCTCTCAAGTTGGCCCCAGTATCTGTTGTCTCCCTCTTTCTGTCCCTGTGTTCCCAGTATTTAGCTCCGCCTTATAAGTGAGAATATGCAATATTTGGTTTTCTGTTCCTGTGTTAGTTTGCTGAAGATAATGGCCTCCAGTTCCATCCATGTTCCTGCAAAGGACATGGTCTTGTTCTTTTTTATGGCTACATAGTATTCCAGGGTGTATTCCATGGTGTATATGTATTACACTTTCTTTATCCAGCCTACCATTGATGGGCATTTAAGTTGATTCAATATTGTATTAGCCCATTTTCACGCTGCTGATACAGACATACCCAAGACTGGGCAATTTACAGAAGAAAGAGGTTTAATGGAGAACTCACAGTCCCATGTGGCTGGGGAAGCCTCACAATCATGGTGGAAGACAAGGAGGAGCAAGTCATATTTTATGTGGATGGTGTGGATGGTGGCAGGCAAAGAGGGGACTTCTGCAGGCAAACTCCTGTTTTTTTTGTTTGTTTGTTTGTTAAGCCATATGATCTCATGAGCCTTATTCACTATCGTGAGAACAGCATGGGAAAGATCCATCCCCATAATTCAATCACCTCCAACCAGGTTACTCCTACGACATTTGGGAATTGTGGGAGTTACAATTCAAGATGAGATTTGGGTGGGGATATAGGCAATCCATATCAAATATAGTTGCTACTGTGAATGGTGCTGTAATGAACATATGTGTGCCTATGTCTTTATGGTAGAATGGTTTACATTCCTTTGTGTATACACCCAATAACAAATATTGGGTTAAAGGGTAGTTCTTTGAGGAATGCATAGAGACTGAAGAACATCTACTAGTATACAAGGAAAACATGACCTCATCAGATGAACTAAATAAGGCACCAGGGACCAATCCTGGAGAAACAGAGATATGTGACCTTGCAGAGAATTCAAAATACCTGTTGAGAAAAAGCAAGGAAACGTAAAGTAATAGAGAGAATAAATTCAGAATTCTATTGGTAAATTTAACAAAGAGATTAAAATAATTTAAAAGAATTAAGCAGAGATTCTGGAGCTGAAAAGAATGCAATTGGCATGCTGAAGAATACACTAGAGACTTTTAATACCGGAATTAAGAAAGCAGAAGAATTAATGAATTCGAAGCCAAGCTATTTCAAATTACACAGTCAGAGGAGACCAAAGAAAAGAGAATACAAAACAATAAAGCAAACTTACAGGATCTATAAAATATCCTCCAAAGGGCAAATTTAAGAGTTGCTGTCCTTATAGTGGAGGTAAAAGAATAGATAGAAGTAGAGAGTTTATTCAAAGGGACAGTATCAGAGAACATCTCAAACCTAAAGAAAGGTATCAGTATCCAAGTACAAGAAGGTTATAGAACACCAAGTAGATTTAACCCAAAGAAGACTACCTCAAGACATTTAATAATTCAACTCCCAAAGCTTAAGGATAAAGAAAGGATCTTAAAAGCAACCAGAAAAAAAAGAAACAACATACAATGGAGCTCTAATACATCTGGCAGCAGAATTTTCAGTGGAAACCTTACAGGCAAGGAGAAAGTGGCGTGACATATTTAAAGTGCTGAAGCAAACAAATATTTTATCCTAGAATAGTATATCCAATTAAGTTATCCTTCAAATATGAAGGATTAATAAAGACTTTTCCAGAGAAACAAAAGCTGAGAGACTGCATCAATACCAGATTCGTCCTACAAGAAATGCTAAAAGGAGTACTTCAGTCAGAAAGAAAATGACATTAATGAGCAATAAATAATCACCTGAAGGTATAAAACTCACTGGCAATAGTAACTACACAGAAAAACAACACAGAATATTATAACACTGTGATGGCAGTGTGTAAACTACTCTTATCCTAAGTAGAAAGACTAAATGACAAACCAATAAAAACAATAGCTTCAACAACTTTTGAAGATATACTAAGTACTAAAAGATACAGAAGTAGAAATAAAAAAAGTTAAAAAGCAGAGTGGGAGAAGCAAAGAGAAGGCACAGAGTTTTTATTAGTTTTTTTGTTTGTTTATGTAAATAGTGTTGTTATCAGATTAAAATAATGAGTTATAATATTCATGAGACTCGTGGTAACCTCAAACCAAAGAAGCATGCAGTAGAGACACAAAAAGTAAAAATTAAAAAAAACGAAATTATATTACCAGAGAAAATCACCTTTACTAGAGGAAGACAGGAAGGGAAGAAAGAAAAAATAGAAGACCATAAAACAACCAGAAAAGAATAACAAAATTGCAGGAGTAAGTTCTTATTTATGAATAATAACACTGAGTGTAAATGAACTAAACTCTCCAATCAAAAGACAATAAATGGCTGAATATATTAAAGAACAATACCCGTTGATCTGTTCCCTGAAAGAAAAACACTACACCTATAAAGATACACGTATATTAAAAATAAAGAGATGAAAAAACAGATTTCACGCTAATGAAAACCAAAAAGCAGGAGTAGCCATACTTATATCAGACAAAATAAGTTTCAAGACAAAAATCTGAAAAAAAAAAAACAAGGAATGACACTATATAATGAAAGAAGTGTCTATTCCGTCAGAAAATACAGCAAATTTAAATATAAATGCACCCAACACTGGAGCAAACAGACATATAAAGGAAATATTATTAGAGCTAAAGAGATATATAGGCCTCAATACAATATAGCTGAAAACTTCAACACTCCACTTTCAGCATTGGGCAGATCTTCCTGACAGAAAATCAACAACAACAAAAAATCGGACTTAATCTGCATAATAAACCAAACAGATCTAATAGATATTTACAGAACATTTCATTCAAGAGCTCTAAAATATGCATTGTTTTTCTCAGCACATGAATTATTCTCAAGGATGGACTATATGTTAAGTTACAGAAAAATCACAAAACATACAGAAAATTGAAATAATATCAAACAACTCCTCTGATCACAATGGAATAAAACTAGAAATTAAAAACAAGAAGAATTTTGGAAACTACACAAATGCATGGAAATTAAACAATATGCTCCTGAATGGTCAGTGGGTCAATAAAGAAATTAAGAAGGAAATTAAAAAGTTCTTGAAACAAACGGTAATGGAAACACAACATACAAAAAAAATGGGAATTATTTGGAATATTATTTGGAAAAATATATGGAAATTAAACAATATGCTCCTGAATGGTCAGTGGGTCAATAAAGAAATTAAGAAGGAAATTAAAAAGTTCTTGAAACAAATGGTAATGGAAACACAACATACAAAAAAAATATGGCAAAAGCAATACTAACAGGGAAGTTAAGAGCTATTAGTGCCTAGATCAAGAAACAGGAAAAACTTCAAAAAAAAAACAATCTAATGGTAAATTTTAAAGAACTAGAAAAGCAAAAGCAAACCAAATCCAACATTCATAGAAAAAAGAAATAATAAATATCAGATGAGAAATAAATGAAATTGAAATGAAAATAGTACAAAAGATCAACAAAACAAAAAAGTGCTTTTTAAAAGTTAAACAAATTTGACAAACCATTAGTAAGACTAAGAAAAAAAGGAAAGAAGATCCAAATAAATAAAATCAGAAATGAAAACGGAGGCACTGATAGTGAAGAAATTCAAAGGATCATTAGTGGCTACTGTGAGAAACTATATTTCAATAAGTTGGAACATATAGAATCAATGAACACATTCCTAGATACATACAACATACAAAGATTGAACCAGGAAGAAATCCAAAATCTGAACATACCTATAACAAGTAATGAGATCAAAGGTGTAATAAAATGTCTCCAAGTAAAAAAAAACTTGGAACCTGATCACTTCATTGCTGAATTCTACCAAACGTTGCAAGAAGAATGAATAGCAATCCTACTCAAACAATTCCAAAAGCTATAGGAGGAGAAAATACTTGCAAACTCATTGTATGAGGCTAGTATTACCCCAATACCAAACCCAGGTGAGGATATATCTGAAAAAGAAAATTAGAGGACAATATTTCTGATGAATATTGATGCAGCAATTCTCAACAAAATAGCGAACAGAATTCAATAATTAATACATTTTAAATATCATTCAACATGACCAAGTGGAATTTATTCTTGGGAAGCAAATATTGATCAAATTATACATATAAATCAAATTGACACAACATATCAACAGAATGAAGGATAAAATCCATATATTCATTTAAATTGATGCCAAAAAAGCATTTCATGAAATTCAACATCTCTTCATAATAAACCCCCCCCTAAAAAAAACTGATAATAGAAGGAACATATCTAAACACAATAAATGCCGAATATAACAAACCCACAGCTAGTATCATACTAAATGGGGAAAATTGAAAGCTTTTTCCTTAAGATATGGAACATGACAAGGATGCTCACTGTCACCACTGTTACTTAACATAGTACTGGAAGTCCTAGGTAGAGCAATCAGACAAGAGAAAGATATAAAGGGGATCCAAATTGGAAAGAAAGAAGTCAAATTATCTTTGTATGCAGATGATGTGAACTTATATTTGAAAAAAAAAAACAAAGATTCCTCCAAAAGCTATTCCAACTGATAAACAAATTCAAAGTTGCATGATACAAAATTAACATGCAAAATTCTGTAGCATTTCTATATGTCAGTAGTAATCAATGTAAAATAGAAGTAAAAAAGTAATAGCCACACATAAATTAAATACCAAGAATTAACCAAAGAAGTGAAATAAATCTATAATAAAAACTATAAAACACTGATGAAGGAAATTGAACAGGACACCAAAAAAAAAAAGAAAAATATTTTATGTTCATGGATTGGAAGAATCAATATTGTTAAAATGTTCATACTGCTCAAAATAGATTCAGTGAAATCTCTATCAATGTACCAATGACATTCTTCACATAAATAGAAAAAAAAATCCAAAAATTTATATGGAACCACAAAAGACCCAGAATAGCTAAAGCTATTTTAAGCAAAAATATTAAAACTGGATGAATCACATTGCCTGACTGAAAATTATACTACAGAGCTATAGTAATCAAAACAGCATGATACTGGCATAAAAACAGACATATAGACCATTTGAACAGAATAGACAATCCAGAAACAAATCCATGCACCTACAGGGAGCTCATCTTCGAAAAATTCTCCAAGAAAACACACTGAGGAAAAGAAAGTCTCTTTTGTAAACGGTGCTGGGAAAACTGAATATCCAGATGCAGAAGAATGAAACTAGACCCATATCTGTCACCATATACAAAAATCAAATCAGAATGGTTTAAAGACTTAAATCAGGCTCTCAGGTCCAAGACGGCTGAACAGGAACAGCTCCAGTCTACAGCTCCCAGCATGAGTGACACAGAAGACAGGTGATTTCTGCATTTCCAACTGAGGTACAGGGTTCATCTCACTGGGGCTTGTTGGGCAGTGGGTGCAGCCCATGGAGTGTGAGCCGAAGCAGGGCAGGGCATCACCTCACCCGGGGAGTGTGAGGGGTTGAGGAATTCCCTTTCTTAGCCAAGGGAAGCCGTGACAGATGGTACCTGGAAAATCGGGACACTCCAACCCTAATACTGCACTTTTCCAACAGTCTAAGCAAATGGCACACCAGGAGATTATATTCTGTGCCTGGCTCAGAGGGTCCTATGACCATGGAGCCTCACTTATTGCTAGCACAGCAGTCTGAGATCAAGCCACAAGGCGGCAGCAAGGCTGGGGGAGGGGCATCTGCCATTGATGAGGCTTGAGTAGGCAAAGCAGCCAGGAAGCTCGAATTGGGTAGAGCCCACCGCAGCTCAAGTAGGACTGCCTGCCTCTGTAGACTCCACCTCTGGGGGCAGGGCATAGCTGAACAAAAGGCAGCAGAAACTTCTGCAGACTTAAACGTCCCTGTCTGACAGCTTTGAAGAGAGTAGTGGTTCTCCCAGCACAGAGTTTGAGATCTGAGAATGGCCAGACTGCCTCCTCAAGTGGGTCACTGACCCCCAAGGAGCCTAACTGGGAGAAATCTCCCAGTAGGGGCTGACTGATACCTCATACAGTGGGGTGCCCCTCTGAGATGAAGCTTCCAGAGGAAGGATCAGCCAGCAACATTTGCTGTTGTGCAGTATTTGCTGTTCTGCAGCCTCTGCTGGTGATACCCAGGCAAACAAGGTCTGGAGTGAACCTCCAGCAAACTCCAACAGACCTGTAGCTGAGGGTCCTGACTGTTAGAAGGAAAACTAACAAACAGAAAGGAATAGCATCAACACCAACAAAAAGGACATCCACACCAAAACCCCATCTGTAGGTCACCATCATCAAAGACAAAAGGTAGATAAAACCACAAATATGGGGAGAAACCAGAACAGGAAAGCTGAAAATTCTAAAAATCAGAGTGCCTCTTCTCCTCCAAAGGAACACGGCTCCTCGCCAGCAACAGAACAAAGCTGGAGGGAGAATGACTTTGATGAGTTGACGGAAGTAGGCTTCAGATGATTGGTAATATCAAACTTCTCTGAGCTAAAGTAGGATGTTCAAACCCATCACAACGAAGCTAAAAACCTTGAAAAAAGATTAGATGAATGGCTAACTAGAATAAACAGCATAGAGAAGACCTTAAATGACCTGATGGAGCCGAAAACCATCATACGAGAACTACATGACACATGCAGAAGCTTCAGTAGCCATTTTGATCAAGTGGAAGAAAGGGTATCAGCGATCGAAGATCAAATGAATGAAATGAAGCAAGAAGAGAAGTTTAGAGAAAAAAGAGTAAAAAGAAACGAACATTGGTGTACCTGAAAGTGACAAGGAGAATGGAACCAAGTTGGAAAACATTCTGCAGGATATTATCCAGGAGAACTTCCCCAACCTAGCAAGGCAGGCCAACATTCAAATACACAAAATACAGAGAACGTCACAAAGATAACCCTAGAGAAGAACAACTCCAAGACACATAATTCTCAGATTCACCAAAGTTGAAATGAAGGAAAAAATGTTAAGGGCAGCCAGAGAGAAAGGTCGGGTTACCCACAAAGGGAAGCCCATCAGACTAACAGTGGATCTCTCAGCAGAAACTCTACAAGCCAGAAGAGAGTGGGGGCCAATATTCAACACTCTTAAAGAAAAGAATTTTCAACCCAGAATTTCATATCCAGCCAAACTAAGCTTCATAAGTGAAGGAGAAATAAAATGCTTTACAGGCAAGCAAATGCTGAGAGATTTTGTCACAACCAGGCCTCCCTTACAAGAGCTCCTGAAGGAAGCAATAAACATGGAAAGGAACAACCGGTAACAGCCACTGCAAAAACATGTCAAATTGTAAAGACCATTGATGCTAGGAAGAAACCGCATCAACTAATGAGCAAAACAACCAGCTAACATCATAATGACAGGATCAAATGTACACATAACAATATTAACCTTAAATGTAAATGGGCTAAATGCTCCAATTAAAAGACACAGACTGGCAAATTGGATAGAGTCAAGACCCATCAGTGTGCTGCATTCAGGAAACCCATCCCACGTGCAGAGACACACAGAGCCTCCAAATAAAGGGAGTAAATGGATGGAAGAAGATCTATGAAGCAAATGGAAAACAACACAAAGCAGGGTCTGCAATCCTAGTCTCTGATAAAACAGACTTTAAGCCAACAAAGATCAAAAGAGACAAAGAAGGCCACTACATAATGGTAAAGGGATCAATTCAACAAGAAGACCTAACTATCTTAAATATATGTGGACCCAATACAGGAGTACCCAGATTCATAAAGCAAGTCCTTGAAGACCTAAAAAGAGACTTAGACTCTCACACAATAATAATGGGAGATTTTAACACCCCACTGTCAACATTAGACAGATCAGCAAGACAGAAAATTAACAAGGATATCCAGGACTTGAACTCAGCTCTGCACCAAGTGGACATAATAGACATCTACAGAACTCTCCACCCCAAATCAACAGAATATACATTCTTCTCAGCACCACATCGCACTTATTCCAAAACTGACCACATAGTTGGAAGTAAAGCACTCCTCAGCAAATGTAAAAGAACAGAAACTATAACAAACTGTGTCTCAGACCACAGTGCAAACAAATTAGAACTCATGATTAAGAAACACACTCAAAACCACTCAACTACATGGAAACTAAACAACCTGCTCCTGAATGACTACTGGGTACATAATGAAATGAAGGCAGAAATAAAGATGTTCTTTGAAACCAATGAGAAAAAAGACACAACATACCAGAATCTCTGGGACACATTCAAAGCAGTGTGTAGAGGGAAACTTATCGCACTAAATGGCCACAAGAGAAAGCAGGAAAGATCTAAAATTGACACCCTAACATCACAATTAAAAGAACTAGAGAAGCAAGAGCAAACTTGCAGACGGCAAGAAATAACTAAGATCAGAGCAGAAATGAAAGAGATAGAGACACAAAAACCCCTCAAAAATTAATGAATCCAGGAGCTGGTTTTTTAAAAGATCAACAAAATTGATAGACCGCTAGCAAGACTAATAAAGAAGAAAAGAGAGAAGAATCAAATAGACGCAATAAAAAATGATAAAGGGGATATCACCATCGATCCCACAGAAATACAAACTACCATCAGAGAAAACTATAAACACCTCTATGCAAATAAACTAGAAAATCTAGAAGAAATGGATAAATTCCTCAACACCTACACCCTCCCAAGACTAAACCAGGAAGAAGTTGAATCCCTGAATAGACAAATAACAGACTCTGAAATTGAGGCAATAATTAATAGTGTACCAACCAAAAAAATTCCAGGACCAGACAGATTCACAGTCAAATTCGACCAGAGGTACAAAGAGGAGATGCTACCATTCCTTCTGAAACTATTCCAATCAATAGAAAAAGAGAGAATCCTCCCTAACTCATTTTATGAGGCCAGCATCATCCTGATACCAAAGCCTGGCAGAGACACAACAAAAAAAGAGAATTTTAGACCAATATCCCTGATGAACATTGATGCAAAAATCCTCAATAAAACACTCGCAAACCAAATCCAGCAGCATATCAAAAACTTATCCACCACAATCAAGTTGGCTTCAACCCTGGGATGCAAGGCTGGTTCAACATATGCAAATCAATAAACATAATCCATTATATAAACAGAACCAAAGACAAAAACCACATGATTATCTCAATAGATGTAGAAAAGCCCTTCAATAAAGTTCAACAGCCTTTCATGCTAAAAACTCTCAATAAACTAGGTATTGATGAGACGTATCTCAAAATAATAAGAGCTACTTATGACAAAAAAAAAAAAAAACAGCCAATGTCATACTGAATGGGCAAAAACTGGAAGCATTCCCTTTGAAAACTGGCACAAGACAGGGATGCCCTCTCTCATCACTCCCATTCAACATAGTGTTGGATGTTCTGGCCAGGGCAATCAGGCAGGAGAAAGAAATAAATGGTATTCAATCAGGAAAACAGGAAGTCAAATTGTCCCTGTTTGTAGATGACATGAGTGTATATTTAAAAAACCCCATCTTTTCAGCCCAAAATCTCCTTAAGTGATAAGCAACTTCAGCAAAGTCTCAGGATACAAAATCAATGTGCAAAAATCACAAGCATTCCTATGAACAAATAACAGACAAACAGAGAGCCAAATCATGAGTGAACTCCTATTCACAGTTCCTTCAAAGAGAATAAAATACCTAGGAATCCAGCTTACAAAGGATGTGAAGAACCTCTTCAAGGAGAACTGCAAACCACTGCTCAACAAAATAAGAGAGGACACAAACAATGGAAGAACATTCCATGCTCATGGATAGGAAGAATCAATATTGTGAAAAAGGCCATACTGCCCAAGGTAATTTATAGATTCAATTCAATTCAATTCATCCCCATCAAGCTCTGATGACTTTCTTCATATAATTGGAAAAAACTACTTTAAAGTTCATATGGAACCAAAAAAGAGCTGGCATTGCCAAGACAATCCTAAGCAAAAAGAACAAAGCTGGAGGCATCATGCTACCTGACTTCAAACTATACTACAAGGCTACAGTAACCAAAACAGCATGGTACTCGTACCAAAACAGAGATGTAGACCAGTGGAACAGAACAGAGCACTCAGAAATAATGCCACATATCTACAACCATCTGATCTTTTATTTGTTTATTTATTTTGAGACCGAGTCTTGCTCTGTCACTCAGGTTGGAGTGCAGTGGCATGATCTCGGCTCACTGCAAGCTCCGCCTCCCAGGTTCATGCCATTCTCCTGCCTCAGCCTCCTGAGTAGCTGGGACTACAGGAACCTGCCACCACACCAGGCTATTTTCTTTTTTTTTTTTTGTATTTTTAGTAGAGACAGGGTTTCACCGTGTTAGCCAGGATGGTCTTGATCTCCTGACCTCGTGATCCACCCACCTCGGCCTCCCAAAGTGCTGGGATTACAGGCATGAGCCACCGCGCCTGGCCAACTATCTGATCTTTAACAAACCTGACAAAAACAAGCAATGCGGAAAGGATTCCCCATTTGATAAATGGTGCTGGAAAAACTGGCTAGCCATATGTAGAAAGCTGAAACTGGATCCTTTCCTTACACCTTATACAAAAATTAATTCAAGATGGATTAAAGACTTAAATATTAGACCTAAAACCATAAAAATCCTAGAAGAAAACCTAGGCAATACCATTCAGGAAATAGGCATGGGCAAAGACTTCATGACTAAAACATCAAAAGCAATGGCAACAAAAGCCAAAATAGACAAATGGGATCCAATTAAACTAAAGAGCTTCTGCACAGCAAAAGAAACTACCATCAGAGTAAACAGGCAACCTACAGAATGGGAGAAAATTTTTATAATCTACCCATCTGACAAAGGGCTAATATACAGAATCCACAAAGAACTTAAATTTACAAGAAAAAAATCAAACAACCACATCAAAAAGTGGGCAAAGGTTATGAACAGACACTTCTCAAAAGAAGACTTTTATGCAGCCAAAAGACACATGAAAAAATGCTCATCATCACTGACCATCAGACACATACAAATTAAAACCACAGTGAGATACCATCTCACACCAGTCAGAATGGCAATCATTAAAAAGTCAGGAAACAACAGGTGCTGGAGAGGATGTGGAGAAATAGGAACACTTTTACACTGTTGGTGGGAGTGTAAATTAGTTCAACCATTGTGGAAGTCAGTGTGGTGATTCCTCAGGGATCTAGAACTAGAAATGACATTTGACCCAGCCATCCCATTACTGGGTATATACCCAAAGGATTATAAATCATGCTGCTATAAAGACACATGCACACATATGTTTATTGTGTCACTATTCACAATAGCAAAGACTTGGAACTAACCCAAATGTCCATCAATGATAGACTGGATTAAGAAAATGCAGCACATATACACCATGGAATACTATGCAGCCATAAAAAATGATGAGTTCATGTCCTTTGTAGGGACATGGATGAAGCTGGAAACCATCATTCTCGGCAAACTATCACAAGGACAGAAAACCAAACACCACATGTTCTCACTCATAGTTGGGAATTGAACAATGAGAACACATGGACACAGGAAGGGGAACATCACACACGGGGGCCTGTCGTGGGGTGGGGGGAGGGGGGAGGGATAGCATTAGGAGATATACCTAATGTAAATGATGAGTTAATGGGTGTAGCACACCAACATGGCACATGTATACATATGTAACAAACCTGCACGTTGTGCACATGTACCCTAGAATTTAAAGTATATATATATATGTGTATATATATATATAAAAGACTTAAATCAGACCTCAAACAATGAAACTACTACAAGAACACATTAGGGAAAATCTTTACTACATTGGACTGAAAAATATTTATTGATCAATATTTTACAAGCACAGTCAACCAAAGCAAAAATGGACAAATGGGATCACGTGAAGTTAAAAAGCTTCTGCACAGCAAAAGATACAATCAATAAAGTGAAGAGACAATCCACAGAATGGGCAAAAATATTTTTAAACTACCCATCAGACAAGGAATTAGTAAGCAGAATATATAAGGAGTTTAAACAACTCTAGAGGAAATATCTAATAATTTGATCAAAAAATGAGCAAAAGATTTAAACAGACATTTCTCAAAAGAAAATGTACAAATGGCAAACAGCCATATGAAAAGGTGCACAACATCATTGATCATCTGACAAAGGTAAATCAAAACTAAAATGTGATATCATCTTATCCCAGTTAAAATGGCTTATCCCCAAATCAGGCAATAAGAAATGCTGGTGAGAATTTGGAGAAAGGGGAACCTTCAAACACTGTTAGTGGAAATGTAAAGTAGTACAACCACAATGGAGAACAGTTTGGAGGTTCTTATAAAAACTAAAAATGTACTTGCCATATGATCCAGCAATTCCACTACTGAGTATGTACTGAAAAGAAAGTCACTCAGTATATCAAATACATTCTATTTGTTGCAGCACTGTTTACAATAGCTAAGATTTGAACCTAAATGTCTACCAATAGATAAGTGGATAGAGTAAATTTGGTACATATATAAAATGGAATACTATTCAGTCATAAAAAAGAATGAGACCCAGTCATTTGCAACAACATGGTTGAAACCGGAGATCATTATGTTAAGTGAAATACGCCAGACACAGAAACGTAAACACCACATGTTATTACTTATTTATGAGACCTAAAAATCAAAACAGTTGAACTCATGTACGTAGAAAGTAGAAAATTTGCTACCAGAGGCTGGGAAGGGTAGTGGGAGGCAGGTGGTGATGGTTAATGGGTACAAAAATATAGTTAGAAAGAATAAATAAGACCTGCTATTTGATAGCACAAAGGGTGACAATAATATAACTTAATCGCACATTTTAAAATAACTTAAAGAGTGTAACTGGATCGTTTGTAACTCAAAGGATAAATGCTTGAGGGTATGGATGCCCCATTCTCCATGATGTGCTTATTTCCTATTGTATACTTATATCAAAACATCTCATGGACTTCATAAATATATACACCTACTATGTACCCACAGAAATTGAACATAACAATAAATAAATAAAAATAAACAAACAGGAATAGCAGCACTTAAAATGGATATTTCCACTGGCTCAGTGTAGAATGAGCAGACAAAAACACCCAGCTCCTGCTTTTCACATAATGTCCCAATATTCTCTGATGCTGCCTTTGGGATAAGTCTTCAAATAGCTGGAATAGGCAATTAGTAGTTCTCTGGGAGCCTCAACAGTCATGTAGGCACTTTCACAACTTCTTTCATGTTCTCACTCCAGAAATAAAATCAATCCTCTAGCTAGCCAGCTTGTCTCTGAGAGTAGATGGAGGTTAGTTAGCATTTGCTGGGCCCCTGAAGGTAACAAAGAGCAAACCAACGGGTTGAAAAACTGTACTGTCTAAAGAAGTGTGCATATGTTTGCACAGATTCTCTCTGTGGTTTAGTGCACAGTTAATAGACTCCACTTCCCAACTTCTTCCTAATGACAGAAGAAAGTGAAACACACATGTAACAACTCAAATTTTTCAACTGCATATTCAGGAAATGGCTTCTATCTCACCTGTCTCAGGGCATGAGAGAACTTGGTGCATCCAAATCTCTGAGAGATCACTAAGAACAACAACAACAAAATACACTTTGGCCAAGTACAAAGGTTTGAGAGGCACCTAGAATCACTGGATATGCTGATTGTTGAGGTCCGTCTTCTACAGAAGGCTAGTCTGTCAAGACAATGAGAGGGGGTTGTTTTATCCAATGCACATAAACCAATACACATAAACCAATACACAGATTCAAGATAAATGAAGAAACAAAATATGTTCAAGAAAACCCCCGAGATAAATCCTCCCAAAATTACCCTTAAACAACCAACTGGGTCAAGTTAGACATCCAAAGGAAGTTAAAACAAATCTTGAGATTAAAAAAAATTATTAAAATGTCTGGGATGCAGCAAAAGCAGTTCCAAAAGGGAAGGTTATAGCAATAAATGCCTCCACTTAAGAAGAAAAAAATATATATCAACTAAAAAACCCAACTTTCCACCTCAAGAAACTAGAGAAAAAAAACTCATAGTTAGCAGAAGGAAAAGAACAATAATAATGAGACTATAAATAAATCAAATAGAAAATAGGAAAAACTATAGAATAACACTCATATATTGGAGCTAAAATAGTTGTTCTCATGAAGGTAGAACAAAATGATGGTTATCAGAGTCTGGGAACGGTGCAAAGGAGAATAAAGAGGGGTTAGTTAATGGGTACAAGCATACAGTTAGACAAAAGCTCCAAGTCCTAGTGTTTGATAGCACAATAGTGTGACTATAGTTAATGATTCTTTATTACATATGTCAAAAATCTATAAGATATTTAAAATATTTCTAACACAAATGATAAATCAGATGATGGATATCTTAAATGAACTTATTTGATAATTACACATTGCATGCATGTATTAAAATATTACATACACCCCACAGGTATGTACAATCAATATGTTTCAATTTAAAAATCTATAGAAAGAAATTTACAAACTTACTGGGTTTTCGTTGTAAAAATATAAGCAAAAATGACAAACCTTTAGCTACACTATCTAAAAAAATACTCGAATAACAAAAATCAGATATGAAAGAAGAGTCATTACAATGGATGTCTTAGAAATAAAAGACTACTATGAAAAATTATATGCAAACAAATTATATAACCTAAAGAAAATGGATAGATTCCTAGAAACATAAGATCTCCCAAGATCATATCCAGAAGAAATAGAAAGGCTGAACGGCCTAGTAACAAAATATGAGACTAAAGAAGTAATCAAAAACCTCCTAACAAAGAAAATCCTAGGGCCAGACAAATATTCTATCAAATATTCAATTAATTAATAATCTTTACCAAGTGCTTCTAAAAATATGAGTAGAAGAATTACTTCTGGACTCATAAAATGATAACAAAGACAAAGACATCACAAGCAAAGAAAAGTATAAGCCAGTATCACGAATGGATATAAATGCAGAAATTCTCAATAAAATCCTAACAAACTAAATCCAAGTGGGACTTGTCCTTGAGATGCAAGATTAGTTTAATATATACAAATAGATGTGATATACCATATTAACAAAAGAAATGACAAACCACGTAATCATCTCATTAGATTCAGTTAAAGCACTTGACAAAGTTTAACACATTTGTAAGAGAAAAGTTTTCAACAAAATAGGCATAGAAAGAAATTTATTCTACACAATTAAGGTCATTGATGAAAAGCCCACATCTAACATCGTTATTTAATAGGGAAAACAGAAAGGTTTTCTTGTAAGATCCAGTACACTGCAATGATGCAACACTCTTGCTGTTTCTATTCAACATAATACTGGAAGAACTAGAAAGAACAACCATATTTTAAAAAGGAGTAAAGGCATCCAAATCAGAATGGAAGATGTAAAATTATCTCTGCATATGACATGATCCCATATGTAGGAAATTCTAAACATTCCACATGCAAAATCTGTTAGGGTCAATATATGAATTCAGTAAAGTTGCAGAATGCAACGTCAATGTGCAAAAGTCAGTTTTGTGTCTTTACAATAATAACTATTTTTTTCCAAAAGGAAATCAGAAAAAAATCCTATTTACTAGAGCAAAGAAAAGAATAAACTATTTAAAAATAAATTTAACCAAGGAAGTTAAAGATCTGTACACTAATGTATAAAAATTATGTGGTATGTGTACACTATACACGATGTTTTATACATTCTAAAACATTGGGAAAAGAGATTGAGGAAGGCACCAAAAATGAAAAAAAAAAGTATCTTGTGTCCATGGATTTTAAGAGCTTATATTGTTAAAATGTCCATACTACCTAAATCAATCTCAGAATCGATGCAATCCATATAAAAATTCCAATGACATTTTTCATAGAAATAGAAAATACAGTCCTAAAATTTGTGTAAAACTGCAAGCTATCCTTGAAAACTAAAGCAATCCTGAGAATGAAGAGCAAAGCTGAAGGCATCACAGTTCAGGATAATAAAATATACTACAAAGCTGGCTGAGTGTGGTGGCTCACACCTGCAATCCCAACACTTTGGGAGGCCAAAGCAAGAAGATTGCTTGAGG
Organism: Homo sapiens; assembly: GCF_000001405.40. Lineage (NCBI taxonomy): Eukaryota > Metazoa > Chordata > Mammalia > Primates > Hominidae > Homo > Homo sapiens. The sequence continues at coordinate 79,504,643 of NC_000023.11, forward strand.
TCAGAAGTTTGAGACCAGCCTGGGCAACATATTGAGACCCCATAACTACAAAAATTAAAAAGTTAGCCAGGGCCGGGCGCAGTGGCTCACGCCTGTAATCCCAGCACTTTGGGAGGCCGAGGCGGGCGGATCACGAGGTCAGGAGATCGAGACCATCCCGGCTAAAACGGTGAAACCCCGTCTCTACTAAAAATACAAAAAAATTAGCCGGGCGTAGTGGCGGGCGCCTGTAGTCCCAGCTACTTGGGAGGCTGAGGCAGGAGAATGGCGTGAACCCGGGAGGCGGAGCTTGCAGTGAGCCGAGATCCCGCCACTGCACTCCAGCCTGGGCGACAGAGCGAGACTCCGTCTCAAAAAAAAAAAAAAAAAAAAAAAAAGTTAGCCAGACATGGTGGCAAATGCCTGTGATCCCAGCTATTTGGATGACAGAAGTGGGAGGATCACTTGAGCACAGGAGTTTGAAGTTGCAAGTAGCTATGATCACAACAGTGCACTCAAGCTTTGTGAAAAAGCAAGATGCCATCTCAAAAAATATACTACAAAGTTACAGTAATCAAAACAGTATGGTACTAGAATAAAAACAGTCATCTTGACAGGTGGAATAGAATACAGAACCCATAAGTAAATTTCTGCATAAATGATCAACCAATTTTCAACAAGGGAGGCAAAAAATACATAGTGGGGAAATATAGTCTCTTTGATAAATGATCTTTGGAAATTGAATATCCAGAAGCAAAAGAATAAAATTAGACATGATCTTACACCATAACCAAAGATCAATTAAAAATGAATTAAAGATCTAAACATAATAAATTAAACAGAAAAACTCCTAGAAGAAAACAGAGGGAAGAATTCCTTGACATTGGCCTTGCTAATGATATTTTGGATATTATATCCAAAGCTCAAGCAACAGAAGCAAAGCAAAAGAAAACCAAAAAAGTGGAATTACATCAAACTGAAAGCTTTTGCAAAGCAAAGGAAACAATCAACAAAATGAAAAGGCAGTTTATGAATGTAGAAAAAATGTTTGTAGACCGTATATCTGATAAGGGGTAATTATATAAAATACATAAGAAACTCACCCAACATAACTTGTTTACTTACCTCTGCCTGAACATTTTACCGCGCTCAGTGCCCTTCTGAAAATTCACCTCCCACAGACCTATGATATTCCTTTGGCCTTTACCACCTAAGACTTCTGTCTTCTCCAGCGTGAGAGTTCAGCTGGTGACACAGGGACCAGCCCATCCTTCTCCATCACAGCCAGCATCTGAACACTGGGATAGCCTGACCCTAGTCCAGCCTCTTCAAGACTCATAAGCACTGTACAGTTGGCCATCTAATGGCCTGGAAAGGAAGGAAATATCCATCCCATTTCAACTCTGCTGGCACCTAATCATGGCCTGAGGTAAGGCTAACCCCACCAGCTGACTCTGCCACAATCAACACCCACTTACACTGGCACAAACAGCCCTCCTTTACAAGAAACAATAAGACAGCCAAATGCCTAAGCAGATGAAAAGGGGTCCTTGGATAATCTCCAACCCACCCGACAAGTGTTTACATTAAATGCTTTTGTGCAGATGAGAAAACCTGCACAGGGCTTGTCTGGGCATGCTCACATTGGACTGGAGCCCGACATGCACACTGGGGGAAGTGGGTAGAGCCATGGGGAATTTGTACCTTATGCAGGCGAGGAGCCTGCTCTCTTCAGCTCCTGTGGAGCTGTGAGAATAAGTTGGTGAGGTGGAGAGCCTGTTAGCAGGACTCCATCTCACTTTGCTGAGTTGTTTTTCCTTTTTCCTTTTTGCACAAAAAAAAAATTCCACTTCTCACCCTTCTATGTGTCCATAAGCCTAATGTTTCCTGGTCATGTGATAAGAACCCAGTTGTAGCTGAACTAAGAAGAAAGTTATGCAGCATTTTTTGTTGTTGTTGTCTAGTCATAGGGCTTGAGGAACTGTGAGTAAGATGTGAATCAAAAAATATTTCTCTTTTCCTTTCTAAGCCTTTTTCTCCTCAGACTTCTTCTGAGGGTAGAGAAAACTACAAACTACCTCAACCCAACAGCTTCAGGTGTGCATGGGATGGATGGACAAATGGTGGCTCCCCTGCTTTCCTCCAGGCCAGGGCTGGGGCGCATGGCCCATGGCCCACTGGACAGCAATTACGTTTCTCTCTCTTTTGCAGGAACCAATTTGTATAAGAATAAGAGGTATCTTTCCAATCCCGCACTTTAAACTTCTCTTTTTCTCTATGCTGTCAGCAGTTAACGTTTAAGCGAGTTATTTTTTTTTTCATTTTATAAGACATTTTAGTCAGCCAGGAATTATAAGGATCACTGTTTATATTCTCCCTAAAGTTGTCATTATGAAAAGGGATTTGTGAGATTGGTCTTGAGCTGTAATCAACCTGGTGTAGTTTGCATTATTTTCTGTGTCGTCAGTAGCAAACTTTGTTGCAGGCCTCCATCTTGTTTTATCTCATTAGGAGCATGACTTGTAACCAAGTGGCCATGTTTTGTCTTAGCTTCTGTCATTTTACAATGGCAACTGGGTTTGTTCCTGGCTTAGGGAATGAGTCCTTTATGGTTTGATATCTGCATGACCTTTTACTGATTCTCTTCTCCTCTGTGAACAACTTCCAGACTTTTTCTTAAATCTTCCTTTCTCTGGGTTACTTTTAAAGGTCCTAAATTTTATCTAGAAGAAATGGATAAATTCCTCTACACATACACCCTCCCAGGAAGTTGAATTTCTGAATAGACCAATAACAGGCTCTGAAAGTGAGGCAATAATTAATAGCTTACCAACCAAAAAGAGTCCAGGACCAGATGGATTCACAGCCGAATTCTACCAGAGGTACAAGGAGGAGCTGGTACCATTCCTTCTGAAACTATTCCAATCAATAGAAAAAGAGGGAATCCTCCCTAACTCATTTTATGAGGCCAGCATCATCCTGATACCAAAGCCTGGGAGAGACACAACCAAAAAAGAGAATTTTAGACCAATATCCCTGATGAACATCGATGCAAAAATCCTCAGTAAAATACTGGCAAACGAAATCCAGCAGCACATCAAAAAGCTTATCCACCATGATCAAGTGGGCTTCATCCCTGGGATGCAAGGCTGGTTCAACATATGCAAATCAATAAACGTAATCCAGCATATAAACAGAACCAACGACAAAAACCACATGATTATCTCAATAGATGCAGAAAAGGCCTTTGACAAAATTCAACAACCTTCTTGCTAAAAACTCTCAATAAATTAGGTATTGATGGGACATATCTCAAAATAAGAGCTATCTATGACAAACGCACAGCCAATATACTGAATGGGCAAAAACCGGAAGCATTCCCTCTGAAAACTGGCACAAGACAGGGATGCCCTCTCTCACCACTCCTATTCAACATAGTGTTGGAAGTTCTGGCCAGGGCAATCAGGCAGGAGAAGGAAATAAAGGGCATTCAATTAGGAAAAGAGGAAGTCAAATTGTCCCTGTTTACAGATGACATGATTGTATATCTAGAAAACCCCATCATCTCAGCCCAAAATCTCCTTCAGCTGATAGGAAACTTCAGCAAAGTCTCAGGATACAAAATCAATGTGCAAAAATCACAAGCATTCTTATAGACCAATAACAGACAAACAGAGAGCCAAATCATGAGTGAACTCCCATTCACAATTGCTTCAAAGAGAATAAAATACCTAGGAATCCAACTTACAAGGGATGTGAAGGACCTCTTCAAGGAGAACCACAAACCACTGCTCAATGAAATAAAAGAGGATACAAACAAATGGAAGAAAATTCCATACTCATGGGTAGGAAGAATCAATATCGTGAAAATGGTCATACTGCCCAAGGTAATTTATAGATTCAATGCCATCCCCATCAAGCTACCAATGACTTTCTTCACAGAATTGGAAAAAAATTATTTTAAACTTCGTATGGAACCAAAAAGAGCCCACATTGCCAAGTCAATCCTAAGCCAAAAGAACAAAGCTGGAGGCATCACGCTATCTGACTTCAAACTATACTACAAGGCTACAGTAACCAAAACAGCATGGTACTGGTACCAAAACAGAGATATAGACCAATGGAACAGAACAGAGCCCCAGAAATAATGCTGCATATCTACAACCATCTGATCTTTGACAAACCTGACAAAAACAAGAAATGGGGAAACGATTCCCTATTTAATAAATGGTGCTGGGAAAACTGGCTAGCCATATGTAGAAAGCTGAAACTGGATCCCTTCCTTACACCTTATACAAAAATCAATTCAAGGTGGATTAAAGACTTAAATGTTAGACCTAAAACCATAAAAACCCCAGAAGAAAACCTTGGCAATACCATTCAGGACATAGGCATGGGCAAGGACTTCATGTCTAAAACATCAAAAGCAATGGCAACAAAAGCCAAAATTGACAAATGGGATCTAATTAAAGTAAAGAACTTCTGCACAGCAAAAGAAACTACCATCAGAGTAAACAGGCAACCTACAGAATGGGAGAAAATTTTTGCGATCTACTCATCTGACAAAGGGCTAATATCCAGAATCTACCATGAACTCCAACAAATTTACAAGAGAAAAACAAACAACCCCATCAAAAAGTGGGCGAAGCATATGAACAGACATTTCTCAAAAGAAGACATTTATGCAGCCAAAAGGCATATGAAAAAAATGCTCATCATCTCTGGCCATCAGAGAAATGCAAATCAAAACCACAATGGGATACCATCTCACACCAGTCAGAATGGCAATCATTAAAAAGTCAGGAAACAACAGGTGCTGGAGAGGATGTGGAGAAATAGGAACACTTTTACACTGTTGGTGGGACTGTAAACTAGTTCAACCATTGTGGAAGTCAGTGTGGTGATTCCTCAGGGATCTAGAGCTAGAAATACCATTTGACCCAGCAATCCCATTACTGGGTATATACCCAAAGGATTATAAATCATGCTGCTAGAAAGACACATGCACACGTATGTTTACTGCGGCATTATTCACAATAGCAAAGACTTGAAACCAACCCAAATGTCCAACAATGATAGACTGGGTTAAGAAAATGTGGCACATATACACAATGGAATACTATGCAGCCATAAAAATGATGAGTTCATGTCCTTTGTAGGGACATGGATGAAGCTGGAGACCATCATTCTCAGCAAACTATCGCAAGGACAAAAAACCAAACACTGTATGTTCTCACTCATAGGTGGGAATTGAACAATGAGAACACATGGACACAGGAAGGGGAACATCACACACTGGGGCCTGTTGTGGGGTTGGGGGAGGGGTGAGGCATAGCATTTGGAGATATACGTAATGTTAAATGACGAGTTACTGGGTGCAGCACATCAACATGGCACATGTATACATATGTAAGTAACCTGCACGTTGCGCATATATACCCTAAAACTTAAAGTACAATAAAAAAAATAACAAAAAATAAACCATGTAATAAGTAGACCAGATAGGTTGCATAAAGGTAAATAAAATAATTTTTCACACTAATGTAGATTCATTGCATCACATATTATTAATGTAAACTTTATCCTTCAAACCACCTAGCAACAATATCTCATCATTAAGTATAATAAATGCTGAGGGCATTTCCCACCTCTCTGTAAAACCACAGCACATTTTTTTCTCCCTTATTCATATTATGCAGGCCTAATTTGCACAGCATCCAGAAGTCTTTCATTAATTCACTTAAATAGGTTACTTTTTCCTAACGAGCTTACTTACACAAAAGTACCTAGGAGGTTTCCTCTCCTGGTGGGAAGACGTGTGATTCTGACACATAGGGTGAGAAAAAAAGAAAAAAAGTAATTCACTTGGGGCTGATGGCCTGAGAAGATGATAAATACATGGGTGGAAATCGTATTGTTTCTATCGGCGTCTACTTGAATTTCTACAAAAGTTTGGCCTTTGTTTACGCCACCTGAGTTTGAGCAGGACAGAGACAGGCTGTGGACACATCTGTCCCTAAGTATAGCCTCTCTCTGGCTCACTTTCCTCTTCCCATACTGCACCCTGTCCCTAGTAATCTCTGCTGAAGCATTTGTATCGTTTAGCATGCACTCTAATATCATAAGAATATAAGAAAGAGAGCTGTTATGGATTTAATTGTGTCCCCTTCAAATGCATATGTTGAAGTGCTAAACTCTGGTACCTCAAAATGTGACCTTATTCGGAAATACGGTGGTTGCACATGTAATTAGTCAAGACTAGGTCATACTGGTGTAGGGTGGGCCCCTAATTAAATATAACTGGTGTCCTTATAAAAAGAGAATCTTAGATGCAGAAACACACACAGGGAGAATGCCACGTGAAGATTACAGTTATGCTCCCGCAGCCAAGGACTACAGAGGCCAGGAGAGAACCTTGGAACGGATCCTTCTTTAGTGCCTTCAGAGAGGGCATGGCCATGCAGGCACCTTGATCTTGGATTTCTGGCCTTAAGAACTGTGAGACAATAAATTTCTGCTATTTAAAAAAAAAGTCCTAAATTGTGTAAGAACTACTTACCCCCTTTGAAAATACCTCATACACTCACAGTTAAATTATAACATTAATTGAGGCTTGTTGGTTTCACCTGTGAGGATACTTTTAGTAAAGTTTGAAAGCCAGAAATATTGCCTGTTTGGCGTGGCTAAAGTTGAGTAATAAGGGAGTTAAAAGAATTTTCTTAGAGAGTGCTCAGCTTAATCAAAAGTGGATATCCAAGTTATATGTATATTTTAAAGGCCTTTTTGTTTTTTTCTCTTCTGGGACCCTACTTTACTGGAAAAGGGCTTTTTCTCAGTCGACTGAATTATTTTTCTCCGTTTTGCCTTGCCACTCTTAATTCATGCCTGAGAGGCCCTAAAATAACTGCTGGGGGCATGGGACTCCTTGGGAAAAACAGAAGAGGTGCCATTAACACTGTTTTGGGAAGAAACCTGTTTTTCTCATGGAACCCCAGGAATTAAAAGCAGATAGATCCTTCTCAAAATCTGTTTTTGCCTCCCAGTCATGCCTGTTTATTAGGCCTTAAAAGATGCTTGCTTTCCTAGACCTGTTTCTTAAAGGGCTACACTCAGAAGGTAATAATCCAATTAGGAGATTGGCAAACAAAAAATCTATGGCTGCTGGACTTTCTTCTGCCTGTGTAGCTATATATATGTTGTGTGTATAATGTCTATTTTAAAAAAACTCAAATTTATTGGTCTAAAGGAAGATAACTGCTTGAATCAAATATTTTTAAAAGGGAAGATAAAAGCTGTGGTACTGCTCAGTTCAAGCGACTTTAATCTTTGAGAAATAAAAACACTCTTAAAGACTATTGGTAAAATGCAGATGTCATCAAAATGTAAATAAGTGGACTAAATTATGCAGGTTAGATAATAAGTTGGCTAAATATTTAAAGGTTATAAACTACTTTTTTGGTTTTTGAGAACTGTTCAACTTGGTAAGACCTGGGGACATATGGAATTAACCACCCCATAATTATGCTGGAAGGAGTCAAACCTTGGCTCCACCTAGCACATAAGTGAAACAACTTACCGGGTTTTACATTAAAGTTAAAAATTGCTAAAGGATACCATTGTGACACATAATTGAGACTATTGGATATAGATTTATATGTGAGGTGTGTAAGAACAGTAAAATATCTTTTTAATAAGATATTATAAGAAGGTATAGAAATGTAAATTCTTGCCTAGGGTTAAAGGATTGTTTTGAATGAAATAAAATAAATCTAAAAGTTCAAACATAAGATGGAAGGAATGTCAACATTAATCTTGCAAACATTCCATGTGTGAACATATTGACTAAATTCAAAAGGGTATTATACGGTTTTTCTGTAAATTGAGCATTGAAATAAAAGCACAACAAGGTATTCTTAAGGCACTAATCTGCTCTTTGGCAAAATTTGTAAAGTATTATAAAAGGTTTTTCCTTTTTTAAATTTCTGAGTCGTCATTTTGGCAAAATAATTTATTTTAATCTGGAATTCTATTTCATAATATATTGTGTTTTAAATCTCTAACATATTTAATAGGCTTTCCCAAATCAAACTTCAGTTTCAAAATTGCATTTCCTGACTGGGCATTGTGGCTCACACCTGAAATCCCAGCATTTTGGGAGGCTGAGGCAGGTGGATCATATGATGTCAGGAGATTGAGATTAGCCTGGCCAACATGGTGAAACCCCATCTCTACTAAAAACACAAATATTAGCTGGGCATGGTGGCAGGCACCAGTAATCCCAGCTACTTGGGAAGCTGAATTAGGAGAATAACTTGAACCTGAGAGGTGGAGGTTGCAGTGAGTTGAGACTGTACCACTGCACTCTAGCCTGGGTGAGAGAGCAAGACTCCATCTCAAAAAAAAAAAAAAAAAAATTGCTGTTCCTGACAGACATCTGGCTTTTGGAAGCTATAGAGGGCCACTGGAGTATCTAAAAGAGAGGTAAATGGGATTATTTGACATGTTTAGGTATACGGGATTGCCAAAATGATGTTTAATCTTCTTCAGGTTATTTAGTGAATAATACTAATATAAGTTCCAAAATTGTATAGAATGTCTACAATTCCAATGTCTGAGTATATGTTATCAATCATAATTCAGGTTGTTATGTGAAGTTATTTTAAACCATGGAGATAACCAAACTTCTTTGTGAATTGCATTTCTCACTGTAACTACCCTGGATATTTTGTTATTCACAGACAATTGCTGTCTTGTTTTGATCTTCTTCAAAAATGGTTTATAATTAGCTATAGAATTTTGACAGGTGCTCTCAAATGCAGGTTTCTGATAAATTTGGAGATTGTGACATTGGAATGTAGGAAAAATGCACAGGACTCATGTAGAGCTGAAATGTTCACAAATATCAAACAAAACAAGATTTAAGTAAATGGACTGAACTCATACACAACTGAAGCAATCTTTTTGACTTTTGCTTGGAATATCGCTGATCCTTGTTTTGTTTTTCAGAGTCAAGGAAACTTATTTTGAACTATTTATGACCTTTAATAATTGAGTAATGTATACTCCTGTGAACAAAATTTGGAGCATATTTGTCCCTCTCTTTCTGCCTGGCTTCTCCAGAATTTGGAAACCAGTTGTGAGTATTCTTAACTTATGGCAACATAGTTGTTTGCATCAGTGCAATAATAATCAATTTTCTTTTGCAACATGATGCAATTGGAGAAACTGGTTGTATTACCAGTGCTTTGACTGGAAGGGTATCCTTTCCTTTAAGGAGTCAAGCTTGACTTGCAGAGACGATAAAAGCCCCTGGGAAATCTGGCCTCATACTCTTGTCTACGCAGTCCCTGTAAAGGGTTCCTGACCTGTGGTAAGTAAAGAATGTCACTTCTGACAGGCCAAGGAGCTCCAAGTTTATCTTGGGACCATAAGAGAAGAGGATTACCCAACTAACAGGTATTTGAGGATACAAACCCATGGCTGGGCTCAGCTTTAAAAGGTCTTATCTGAGATTCCTTGTGGAACAGAGTTCCATCAAAGCCAATCTAAAAGGCCTATGTAGAAATAATTTTTCTTGCAGCAGTTTACGTGAATAATCAGGCCAAGTATAAGACTAAAGTCTATTTTGCAAACAACTCAGCCCTATCATGATTTGTTTTTTAACAAAAATAAGGGCTGCAGAGAGATAAATTATGTTTCAAACGTTATAAATTTGTCATTGAATTTTACAGTCATTAGTTGTTTTCAAGATTTTGCCTAGATTTTAGACTAACCCTACTTGTTCCTGTGAACCAACCAGCAATCTCTGGCTGCAGCTCAGAAAGAACAAAAGGGATGGGTGATGTAAAAATCTGGATCAATATTCTAGTTCTGAGCAATTATCTTGCAGATCCTGCCAGGTGATGGGAATAAATAGGGTGGCCATCACCCAGAATTTTCCTTTTTGGGAAAGTAAGACCAAATGAGCTAAACAAAGCCAAATCCCATGCACCCAAATCTTAGTTAGCATAACTATAGCCACTAGTTATCTGGGCATGTCACAAGACATCATTTTCACTCCCTTATTGAAGGAGGACTCAATTCCACAGCTTCATCTTAGTATTCAGCTTATGATAAGGAGTCGATGCAACCCACCTGAGACACATTTTTGTCTCAAATTCAATTCCAAGCTTCAGGTCAAAGCCCTAGGAATAAAAGCCAGATCTGAAGAATACAGAGGCAGATGATAACTGAAGTTAAAAGGCACATCATAAGTCAGCATGACTGATTCCTGCTGATTAAGCCAAGCTTCCCATTTCATGAATAAAGGTCATGTTAGTATCCATGGCAGTAATGAGGTCTAGGCAGGGGAAACGGGATGCACATGGGTAAGAACAGATACTGCCATCCCCTAGGCCCCTCTGTTAACATGGGTGAAAGCCAAGGTGACACCTATGGGTGGCACCCTCTCATGGTCACTGGGACTAAGTGATACAAGAATGGAGAAAAGAAAGAACGTCTCACTTTCCCTTCCTCACGTACCCCAAGTATTTGCTAGGAAGAGAAAGGAACCAGGGATGATTGCTCCCCTCTTTCTAAATGTGTAGCCATTCATCTTCAATCTGTACCCACTTCGAATGCATCCTGAACCCTGGGACTCCTTTGGAAAAAAAAAATGCCTCCTTTTTTTCCTCCTTCCTTCTCTGTCCTCTCTTCTCTGATAGGTAATTGTGTCTCTGTACTATGGACACTTCCCTCAGATGCATTCTTCAAACTAGGAAAAATTAATTTTTCAAACCTTAAACTGGTTGGCTTAGGATTGGGTTCGGGGAATGGGAACCCAAAGGCCTGACATGCCAACAAAAGAGTAAAAGGTTTTTTTGCCAGCTGGGCTTTTGGCCTCCCTCTCTCTGTGAAAACCGGTAAAAGTCCTCAGGATTTTTGAGTTATCCTTACCATCCTTGTTTCATTTTGACGCATGTTTCTTAATAACCTGGTTTCTCTCTTCTCACCTTCAGGCCATTAAACTCCAGTCATGCAACCAGAGCCTCGGATGATGACCCCCTTTTGCCAGGAACCATTAGATAGACCTCTGAAAAAGAACTGACTGCCGTTTTCCCAAAACAGCGCCCCCTGTCAGCAGGAAGCGATTACACGATCGGTCTTTGTCCTTATCCTTATCCTTATCCTTATCCTTATCCTTATCCTTATCCTTATCCTTATCCTTATGCTTATCCTTATCCTTATCCTTATTGTAATGACAGTTAGATGTACTTCTTTAGAGGGGGAAATGAGACAGCCAAATGCCTAGGCAGATAAAAAGGGGTCCCTGGAGAATCTCCAATCTGCCCCAGAAGTGTTTACATCACACTTGTGCAGATGAGGGAACCTGCCCCGGGCTTATCTGGGCATGCCCACAACAGACTGGAACCAAACATGTTTACTGGGGAAAGTGTGTGGAGCCACCAGAAATTCATACCTTAAAGAGGGGAGGAGCCTGCTCTCTTCAGCTTATGTGGAAATGTGGGAATCAATTGGTGAGGTGGACAGCCTATTAGCAAGACTCCATGTTACTTTGCTGAGTTGTGTTTCCTTCTCCCTTTTCACCCAATAAATTCCACTTCTCACCCTTCTATGTATCTGTGAGCCTCATCTTTCCTGGTCATGTGACAAGAACCCAGTTTTAGCTTAACTAAGGAGAGAGTTCTGCAATAGCAACAGCACTGCCTCATTGAACAGATGATCCATAAAAAGTCTGTATGAGGTTGAATGATAAGGTTATGCCCTGCAACCACTTTCATGGAGTTATAAAACTGATGTTTCCCATGGCTACCAACCAAATTGTGGTCTTGAGAAAGACTGCAGTGTGTGTCTGAACTAGTGGTCATGAGCCCTGGAACAACAAATCAAGTTTGTTGTCTATCTCGGACAAGGAACAAGTGAAGCCTCCTCTCTTTCTCACAGAGACCTCATTGCACTTCAGTAGGGGTGCCATTCAGCCACACTCATCATGGCTGATGCCTGCAGTCACCATTCGGGTATTTTGGGGCAAGTCATGGATTCCAGCTCTGTCTACTCTGTCCCCCAACTTCTGCAGAATGGAGAGCCCAGGACACCAGGACCTCTACCATCTAGCCCTTCACCTGAAACAACAGAGACCACCACACACTAAATGATTATCACGTATATACTCACCTGCTTGTGCCACAAGTGACTCTTATCCTCAAGCACTATCTACTGGCCTGTGGGTAAAAACACACAGCCCAATATAAAACCTTCTGACAGAGTGCATAGCACTTTAGAAACAAAGCCTAAAGGCCCCATAAAGCTTACTTTACAGTCATACCACCTAGGAAGGAAAAAAATTGTAAGATAAATTGAGAAGAAGGGAGGGAGGAAGGGAAGAAGGCAGGGAAGGAGGGAGAGAGAGAGAGAGAGAGAGAGAGAGAGAGAGAGAGAGAATATCCTATTTGGAAGAAAATAATGATGAATATCAGCAGTGCCAGCCTCTCCAGATGAGAAGGAACCAGATGGTAAGAATTTTAGCACCATGAAAAATCTGAATGCTGCAACACCACCAAAGGATTACCAAAACGGAAACTTGGAAATAACAGATAAATAATTAAAAGCATAAATTGTGATGAATCTCAATGAGATCAAGACAATGTTGAAAATCAAAACAAAGTAACTTTGACAGTAATCCAGGAAATTAAGAAATAGATAAACATCTTTAAAACATTTAAAGACAATCAGAGCATCTGGAATTTAAAAACTCACTTAAGGAATTTTCATATACAATTAAATGTTTTATCAATAAACTAGACCAAGTAGGAGAATTTCAGAGCTGAAAGACAAATCTTTGAACTAACCCCATCAGACAAAAACAAAGAAAAAATGATTTAAAATGAACAAAGTCTCAGAGAAATATAAAATTATTTAAAGAAACCAAACCTATGCATTATTGGAATTCCTGAGAGACAAAGAGAAAAAATGTAAATAACCTGGACAACATATTTGAGGACAGAATCCAAGACAATTTCCTTAGTCTTGCTTGAGAGGTAGACATTTAGATACAAGAAATTCAGAGAACAGCTGTCAGATACTATAGATAATGAACATCATAAAGGCATGTAGGCACCACTGCTGCTGCCTTGCTCCTGCCTGCACACAGATGTATGCTCCCGGTTCCCCTGCCCCAACCATCATGCATGCACTGCACTACGTTTCTGCTGCATGTGTGAACACGACTGAACCACCCCTGCAGGTGCATGTGCAACATGCCATGCAGCTACCGCCACTCTAATGTGGGGAAAAGTGTGGACCCCACTGCCACCACCCAGGTGAAGCACTTAGGCTGAAACCTCCCATTAGAGTGTTGTTTCCAGTATATCTGGAATAGCATGGCCCCTCCAGCACATCAAGTGCTTAATCTTGAGGGATCATGGAACAAAGCCTTGTGTCTGGTACCACACCTCGGGGTTGAAACACACAACCCAAAAGTGGTGAGTTGAACCTTGGCCTTTTGAAATCTTCCGGAAATGAAGCAAGTCAACTAAATCCAACATATGCCACAGTTAAACTCTCAAGGGCATCAAATAATCTAAAAGCAACAAACCCCATTCAAAGGAGAGCAACTTGACAGATTAAAGAAACAATAGTTGACACAGATGAGAAGAAAACAGCACAAGAACTCTAGAAACTCGATAAGACAGAGTGTGTTTTTACCTTCAAATGACTGAACTAGCTCCCCCAAAATGTTTCTTAAGCAGGCTGAAATGGCTGAAATGACAGACATAGAGTTAAGAATCTTGATAAGAATAAAGATCATTGAGATTCAGAAGAAAGTTGAAACCCAGTCCAAGGATTCTAAGGAATTTAAGAAAGTGATACAGAGTTAATAAATAATATAGTCATTTTAAGAAAGAACCAAATTATTCACAACAGAATAGATCAAGCTGAGAAAAGAATCTCAGAGCTCAAAAACCAGTTCTTTGAGTCAACTCAGCCAGACAATAATAAAGATAAGAATAAAAAAGAATGAACAAAACTGTCGAGAAATATGGGATTATGTAAAGAGACTAAACCTATAACTCACTGGCTTTCCTTAAAGAGAGAGACCTATGAGGGGCCTGAAAGAGACTAAAGCTATGATTCACTGGCATCCCTTAAAGAGAGGAAGAAAGAGAAAGCAACTTGGAAAATATATTTGAGGATATTGTCCATGAAAACCTTCCCAACCTCACAAGAGATGTAGACATTCAAATTTTGGAAATGCAGAGAACCCCTGAGAGATACTATACAAGGCAACTATACCTAAGACACATAGTCATCAGATTCTCTAAGTTTAACATGAAAGAAATAAAAATGGTTACTGTAGGTAGGAAGAAGAGGGAAATCACCTTCAAATGGAACCCTATCCGGCTAACAGTGGACTTTTCAGCAGAAACCCTACAAGCCAGAAAGGACTTGGGGCCTGTATCCAACATTATTAAGAAACTTAATTCTAACCAAGAATTTTCAATCCAGCCAAGCCAAGCTTCATAAGCAAAGGAGAAATAAGATCCTTTTCAGGCAAGCAAATGCCAAAGGAATTCATTACCACCAGAGCTAACTTATGAGAGGTCCTTAACGGAGTTTTAAACATGTAAACCAATGACCATTATTGACCACACAAAAAACACACATAATTATATACATGTATTACTGATACTGTAAAGCAACTATACAATCAAGCTTGCATAACAACCAGCTAACAACACAATGACAGAATCAAATCTGTGAGTATCAATATTAACCTTGAATGTAAATGGACTAAATGTCCCACTTATAAGGCACAGAATGGCAAATTGGAAAAAGATGCTAGGCTCAACTGTTTGCTTTTATCAAGGGACCCATCTCACATGCAATGATATCCATAGGCCCAAAGTAAAGAGATGAAGAAAAATCTAGCAGGCAAATGGAAAAGGAAAAAGAGCAGGAGCTACTATCCTAATTTCAGACAAAATATACTATAAATCAAAAAAAGATTTATAATATGTTTTGTATGGCATTAAATAATGACAAAAGAGGGTATTACATAATGATAAAAGGTTCAAGTCAACAAGAAGACTTAACTATCCTAAATATATATCCACCCAACACTGGTGCACCTGGATTCATAAAACAAGTACTTAGAGACTTACAAGGAGGCTTATATAACCACACAATAACAAAGGCAGAATTCCATACCCCACTGAAAATATTAGACAGATCATTGAGACAT
The DNA here is from genome assembly GCF_000001405.40 of Homo sapiens. Lineage (NCBI taxonomy): Eukaryota > Metazoa > Chordata > Mammalia > Primates > Hominidae > Homo > Homo sapiens. The sequence goes on from NC_000023.11 coordinate 79,519,863, forward strand.
AAATCAAACCAAAATATTCAATACCTGAAGTTGATGCTTGACCAAAGGGACCTAACAAATATCTTCAGAACACTCCACCCAACAACAATAGAAAATTTAATCTTCTCATCTGCACATGTCACATAATCTAAAAATGACACATGATCAGCTATGGAACAATTCTGAACAAAACTTTAAAGAATAAAATTTAACCTTCCACATTCTCATACCAATAAATAAAAATCTCTGTAAAGAACATATCCAAAAACCATACAATTACATGGAAATTAAACAATCTTCTCCTGAACGACTTTTGGGTAAACAATGAAATTAAAGCAGAAATCAAGAAATTATTTTAAAATAATGAAAACAAAGATACAGTACACCAGAATCTCTGAGAAACAGCTAAAGCAGTGTTAAGAGGAAAGTTTATAGCATGAAACACTCACATCAAAAGATTAGAACAACCTCAGATTTACAACCCAACATCACAATAGATGTTAAGAACTAGAGAAACAAAAGGAAACCAAACCAAAAGCCAGCAGAAAATAAACAACCCAAATCAGAGCTGATCTGAATAAAATTGAGACACAAAAACATGTAAAAAGTTAGTTATTTAAAAGAGTAAATAAGATTGATATGCAGCTAGAAAGTCTAACAAAGAAAAAAAGAGAGGAGAGCTAAATAAAAACAGGCAGAAATAAAAAAGAGGACAGTACCAGTGACCCCACAAAACTGCAAAAACCCTCACAGACTACTAAAAACACCTCTATGCACACAAGTTAGAAAACCTAGAATAAATGGATAAATTCCTGGAAACATACAAAGTCCCAAGATTGAACCAGGAAGAATTTGAAACGATAAACAGAACAATAACGAGTTCTGAAATCAAATGAATAACAAAAAACCTACAAAGTAGAAAAAGTTCTGTACTCAAAAAATTCAAAGACAAGGAGCCAGGTGCAGTGGCTCACGCCTATAACCCCAGCACTTTGGGAGGCTGAGGTGAGAGGATCACGAGGTCAAGAGATCGAGACCATCCTGGCCAACATAGTGAAACCCTGTCTCTACTAAAAATTCAAAAATTAATTGGGCATGGTGGCACGTGACTGTAGTCCCAGGTACTCAGGAGGCTGAGGCAGGAGAATCACTTGAACCCAGTAGGCAGAGGTTGCAGGGAGCCAAGATCACACCACTGCACTCCAGCCTGGTGACAAAGTGAGACGCCGTCTCAAAAAAAAAAAAAAAAAAAAAAAAGAAAAAAATCACAGGCAAATCCTACCAGATATATAAAGAAAAGCTGGGCCAATCATACTGAAACTGTTCCCAAAATCCAGAGGGGAGAGACTCTTTTCTACCTTGGTATATTAGGCCAACAACATTCTGATACCAAAATCTGTCAGAGACAAAAAAAAAAAAAAAGCAACAACATAAAGTTTTCAGGCCAGTATCTTTGATGAACATCAATGCAAAAGTTCTCAACAAAGTACTGGCAAACCGAATCCAGCAGCACATCAAAAGGCTTATCCAACATAATCAGATAGGCTTATTCCTGGGATTCAAGGTTGGTTCACCATATTCAAATCAATAAATATGATTCATCACATAAACAAAACTAAAAACAATAGCCACACAATCATCTCAATAAATGTGGAAAAGGTTTTTGATAAAATTTAATATCCCTTTATGTTAAAAGCTGTCAACAAACTAGGCATTGAAGAAACATATCTCAAAATAATAAGAACCATCTATGATAAACCCACAGACAACATTATACTGAATAGGCACAACCTGGAAGTATTTCATTTAAGAACCAGAATGAGACAAGGATCCCCACTCACACTCCTATTTAACATAGTTTTGAAAGTCCTAGCCAGAACAATCAAGGAAGAGAAAGAAATAAAAGGCATCAAAAAAAAAAAAGAGAAAATCACAGTATCTCTCTTCACAGAGAGCATGATTATATACCTAGAAAACCCCACAAGCTCTGGACAAAAGCTCCAAGATCTGGTAAACAACACCAGCAATGTTTCAGGATATAAAATCAATGTACAAAAATCAGTGGCATTTGTATGCACCAAGAACATTCAAGTTGAGAGCCAAATCAAGGATACAGTTCCATTCAGAATAGCCACAAAAAGAATGAAATAGCGAAGATTACAGCTAACCAGAGAGGTGAAAGATTTCTACAATAAAAAATAGAAAACATTGCTGAAATAAATAAGAGATGACACAAAAAATGGAAAAAAAAAGCATTCATGCACATGGATAGAAAGAATCAATATTGTTAAAATGGCCATACTGCCCAAAGCAATTTATAGATTCAATGTTATTTTTATCAAACTACCAACTATATTTTTACAAAATTTTAAAAAACATATAAATTTCATATAGAGCCAAAAAAAAACTCCTCAAATAGCCACAGCAAAACTAAGCAAAAAAAAAAAAAAAACAAAAAACAAACAAACAAACAAAAAAACCCAGAGGCATCACACTATGCAACTTCAAATTATGTTACAAGGTTACAGTAAGAAAAACAGCATGGTACTGGTAAAACAACAAACACATAGACCAATGGAAGAGTATAAAAATCCAGAAATAAATTTGCACACCTACAGTTGTCTGATCTTTGACAAAGTCTACAAGAAAAGCAATGGGGAAAGGACTTTCTATTCAATACCTGGTGCTGGGATAATTTGCTAGCCATATGCAGAAGACTGAAACTGGATCCCTTCGTTTCAGCATGTGTAAAAATCAACTCAGGATTAAAGACTTAAAACCTAACACTACAAAAATTCTAGAAGAAATCCTAGAAAATGCCATTGTGGTTATACAAACTAGCAAAGTTTTCATGAAGAAGTTGCCAAAAGCAATTGCAACAAAAACAAAAATTGACATATGGGACCTAATTTAAATTTAAATTTAAAAAATTTAATTCAACAAGAAGACTTAACTGTCCTAAATATATATGCACCCAACACTGGAACACATGGATTCATAAAACAATTACTTACTTTGAGACCTACAAGGACACTTAGATAACCACACAATAATAGGGGCAGAATTCAATGCCCCACTGAAAATATTAGACAGATTATTGAGACAGCAAAAAAACCTTCCACACAGCAAAAATAACTATGAACAGCATAAACAGACAACCTAGAGAATAAGAGAAAATATTTGCAAGCTATGCATCTGACAAATGTCTAATATCCAGAATCTATAAGGAACGTAAATTAACAACCAAATCAAGAAATAAATAACTTCATTAAAAATGGGCAGAAGATATTAACAGACACTTCTGAAAAGAAGACATACATGCATGTGAAAAAATGCTCAACATCTCTAATCATTAGAGAAGTGCAAATAAAAACAAAAATGAGATATTATCTCAAATAAATCAGAATGGCTGTTATTAAAATGTCAAAAAATAACAGATACTTGTTAGGTTGTGGAGAAAAGAGAAGCTTATACATTATTGGTGGGAATATAAGTTACATCAGCTAATGTGGAAAGCAGTTTGGAGATTTCTCAAATAACTTAGAACTACCATTTCACCCAGCAATTCTATTACTGGGTATATGCTCAAAGAAATATAAGTCATTCTACCATAAAGGCACATGCACATGTATGTTCATCTTAGCAATACTCACAATAACAAAGACATAGAGTCAACCTAAATGCCCATCAACGGTGGACTAAATAAAGAAAATATGGTACATATACACAATGGAATACTATGCAGCCATAAAAAAGAATTAGATCATGTCCTTTGAAGCAACATGGGTGGAGCTGGAGGCCATTACCCTAAGTAAATTAATGCAGGAACAGAAAACCAAATAGTGTATGTTCTCACTTATAACTGGGAACTAATCATTAAGTACACATGGACACAAAGAAAGGAACAGTACATACCAGGTCCTACTTGAGAGTGGAAGGCAGGAGAAAGGTGAGGGTTAACAAACTACCTATTGGGTACTATGCTTATTACCTGGGTGCTAAAATAATCTGTACATCAAATTTTTTTGGCTTTCAGTCTACCTATGTAACAAACTGACACATGGATTCCCTGAAGCTAAGATAAAAGTAGAAAAGAAAAAAAAAGTATACAAAAACAACAATTAAAAATTTCTCTTAAAAAAGCACAAAAGAAGTTTTAGAACTCTTGGATATAACTCAAAAGCCAAAAGCTTTAGCCTTAAAAAGGTCATGACTACAAAAAATAAAGAAGCTAGAATCAAACATTTTGCAGACCAGGTAGCTAAAAAAGCTGCCTTAACTAAAAAACTTAGTTCTCTAAGCTCTTGTTTAATCCAAATATTCAAATTAACTCCCTCAATATTGAGAAAAGCTCAACAGACTCCCTCAGATACAAAAAAAGGAGAAGGTTTACAAAACAAAAGGGGGAAACTATTCTTTTGAAAATGGTATGTGATATGGCCCAGATCTGGATAACAAACCCAGAATACCCACCAGATTACAATTTCCATTTTTAGAGTACATGCATAAATTTACCCAGTGGGATCCCAAAATTGATTAAATGGAAAAAAAATACTTTTATAAACCATCATTTACTATAATAGAAAACGTGGCATCTGGATATACTGTCTGTCCTAAATATAACACAGGAAAATACTTCCATAGCACTCCTGAGCATTTTACCTTATACCTTATATAATACATATTGAGGTCTCACAATTGGAGTTTAGCAGCTCTCTCTCCTATGTGTGGACCTCAGGGCATTTAATCAGGATCTCCCCTTACCATTTCCATCGTGGTTTGCTGTGCTCATCGCAGAGGTATTCATGGGTGAGTTTGGGGGTCCAGTTACACCTAGAATTGTCTCCCTCTGGGCTGAAGAGGAAACAGCACATCAGACTGTCCGCAGACCAGCAAATCACCTGAAACAACAGAAAGCAACTCCCAGTAAACAAAGATCAAGATTAAGTCATACCCATGTTTTTGCCAAAGCCAGCTATTACCTGTAGGCACCATCTACTGGCCAAGACGCTAAACTGCACAATCCAATACAAAATCTGGAAGAAGTGCACAGTGCTGGGGAACCAGATAAGCTTCATGAGACCTCTGCAGTCAGGGTCTTGCAAAAGGAAGTGAGACTGCTCATATGCTCAGTACATCACTATTACAACCAGCATTTGAGAAAGCAACCAAACAAAGGATATTTATAACCAAAAACCTCATAAAGAGTCCTGGTTCATTGAAAGCACATAGAATCAAAGCCACACAATCATACACAGCAAGCATTAAGTCACATCCTCAAGGGGAAAGATAAGTTTTATCTAAACAGAAGTCAACCCAAAAAAAATAGTGACAACTTCACCTGATCAGAAGGAATTAACATGAAAACTCTGGCAGTATAAAAAAGAGCATTAAGACACCTCCAAAGGATCACAGCAACTCTCTAGCAATGAACCCTAATAAAAATAAACATTCTGAAATGACAGATAAAGAATTCTAAATATGGATTGTAAGGAAGGTCAGTGAGATCTAAAAGAAACTTGAAAAACAAAACAAATAAATCAGGAAAATAATTCAGGATAGGAAGGAAGATATGGATATTTTAAAAATCTAGAACATCTGGAAATAAAAACTTCATTGAAGAAATTTCAAAATACAGTTGAAAGCTTTAACAATACATTATACCAAGCGGAAGAAAACACTCAGAGATGTAAGATAGGTATTTCAAATTAACTCAGTTAGACAAAAACATAGAAAAAAACTAAAAACATTAACAAAGATTTTGTGAACTGTGAGGCTGTGTAAAGCTTCTAAACCTATGAATTATAGGTATCTAGAGGCAGAAGATAAAAAGTAAAATGTATGGAAAACCTGTTGGAGGGAAAAATTTAAGAAAACTTTCCTAGTCTTGCTAGCCATTTGCACATCCAGATATGGAAAACTCAGAGAACACCTTAAAATACATTGCAAGAAAAACCTCAACAAGGCATATTGCCATCAGACTATCCAATGTCCATATGAAGAAAAAAAAATGAAAAGCGACAAGATAGAAGGGTCTAATCACCTAGGAAGGAAATCCTAGCAGAATAGCAGTAGATTTCTCAGGAGAAATCCTACAAGACAGAAGATATTAAAGTCCAGTTTTTATTCTTCTTGAAAAAAAAAAGTCAGTCAAACTTTTGTATTCTGCTAAACTAGGCTTCAGAAAAAAAAACAGCTATAAAGTCTTTCTTACATAAACACGAAGGAAACTCATCACAACTAGACTGGACATATAAGAAATGCTCAAAGGAGTTCTAAACACAGAAATAAAGAGCAATACTAATCATCATGAAAAGATATAAAATTATGAAACTTGCAGGATTTATAAGGCTATTACACAATACATAATTGCAATTCCAAAGGAGCTAGATAATAATTAACATTATGACAGGAACAAAACCTCACTTATCAATAATAACCTTGAAGGTAAATGAACTGAATGCTCCACTTAAAAAATATAGACTGGTGGAACTGATTTTAAAAAAGATCCAACAAGAAACCCACCTAACTGGTAGAGACATTTATAACATAAAGAGGTGAAATTTATTTTTACAAAACAGAAGCCAAAAGCAAGCAGGAGTAGTTATGCTTATGTCAGATAAAACAGACTTTAAATCAACAGTAACAAAAAGACAAAGAAAGATCTTACATAATAAAAATGGATCAATTCAACGAGAACATATAAACAAACCCGAATATATATGCACCTAACACCAGAACACACAATAATGGTGGGTGATCTCAATCCCCCACTGACAGCTCTAGACAAATTATCAAAGCAAAGAAATCAACAAATTGGATTTAAATTGAATCATAGACCAAATGAGCCCAAAGGACATTTACATAAAATTCTACCCAACAATTATACAATATATATTCTTCTTCTCTGCACATGGAACATTCTCAAAAATAGACCATATCTTAGGCCACAAGGCAAGTCTCAATAAATTTTAAAAAATCAAAATCATAACAAGTATCTTCTCAGACCACAGTGGACTAAAACTAGAAATTAATACCAAGAGAAACTCTCAAAACTATACAAATATATGGAAATGAAACAAACTACTTCTGAATAATTGTTTGGTCAAAATACAAAAATAAGGCTGAAATTTAAGAAATAAAAATAAAAATAGACACGTAAAATATCCAAACCTGTGGGATACAGTAAAAGAAGTGCTAACAAGAAAGTGTATAGCATTCAATGCCTACATAAAAATAGAGTTCAAAAATTAAAAACCTAATGTCAAAACTAAAGTAACCAGGAAAAAGCAAGAGCAAAGTACACTCAAAGATAGAAGATGAGAAATAATGAAGATCAAGGAAGAACAAAACAAAATTGAAACAAAAAAAAATACAAACGATTAATGACAAGAAAAGTCAGTTCCTTTAAATAAGCACAATCAGAAACGTTAAATGTGACATAACTGATATCACAGATTAAAAAAAAAAAATTAACAGAGACTACCAAGAGTGTCTCCACACACAAACTAGAAAACCTAAAGGAAAAGAATAAGTTCCTGGAGACATGTAATTTCTCAATATTAAACCAGGAAATTAAAAAAAATTCTGAAAAGACCAATAATGAATAGTGAAATTGAACCAAAATATATAAAATAGATTCACAGATGAATTCTACCAAAATACAAGAAATAACTATATTAATCCTACTGAAACTGATCCAAAACTGTTAAGAGGAAGAAATCCCTCCAACTCATTCAACAAAGCCAGCATCACCCTGATACCAAAGCCAGACAAAGACACACACATAAAATAAGAAAACTACAGGTCATTATATCTGATAAACATAGATGCCAAAATCCTCAGCAAAATGCTATTAAACTGAATCTAACAACACATCAAAAACACAATACACCACAACCAAATGGGTTTGTTTTAAGGATGAAAGGATAGTTCAATGTGTTCAATTTGATCAATGTGATTTAACACATAAACAGAATTGAAAACAAAAACCATATGATTATCTCAATCGATGCAGAAAAATCATTGCATAAAATCAAGCATTCATTCATCATAAAATCTGTCAACAAACTAGGCGTAGATAGAACATACCTCAAAATAATAAAGCCATCTATGACAAATCTACAGTCAATATATTATTAAACAGGGAAAAGTTGAAAGTATTTTCTATAAGAACTGGAACAAGACAAGGATGCCTAGTTTCACCACTCCTAGTCAACATAGTACTGGAAGTCCTAGCTGGAGTGATCAGGTAGGAGAAAGAAAGAAAAGGCATCTAAATTGGAAAAGAGGAAGTCTCTGTTCACTGATGACATAATTGTATACCTAGAAAACTCTCAAAAAGACTCCTAGATTTTGTACATAAATTCAGAATAGTTTCAGATTACAATTCTTCTTTTTTGTGTTTTCCACTTGCTTGGTAAATTTTTCTCCATCCCTTTATTTTGGGCTTATGTGTTTCTTTGCACATGAGATGTGCCTCTAGAAGTCAGCATAACAATGAGTATTTACTTGTTATTCAACTTCCCATTCTGTTTGTTTTAATAGGGCAATTTAACCCTTTTACATTTAAGATTAATATTGTTATCTCTGGATTTGATCCTGTCATCATGATGCTAGCTGGTTATTTTGCAGACTTGTTTTTTGTAGTTGCTTCATAGTGTCACTTGTTTGTGTACTTCAGTGTATTTTGTAGTGGCTGGCAGTAGATTTTTCTTCTCTTATTTAGTGCTTCTTTCAGGAGCTCTTGCATGGCAGGCCTGATGGTGATAAATTCCCTCAGCATTTTCTTGTTTGAAAAGTATCTTATTTCTCCTTCACTTACGAAGTTTAGTTTGGCTGTATATGAAATTCTAGGACAGAAATTCTTTTTTTAAAAAAAATGTTGCATATTGGCCCCCAATCTCTTTCAGCATGTAGGGTCTCTGCTAAGAAGTCCCGCTGGTCGTCTGATGGGTTTCCTTTGTAGGTGACCTGATCTTTCTCTCTGGCTGCCCTTAACACTTTTTCTTTCATTTTTATCTTGAAGAATCTGATCATTATGTGTCTTAGGGTTGATCTTCTTGTAGAATATGTTGCTGTGGTTCTCTGAATTTCCTGAATTTGAATGTTGGCCTGTCTTGCTAGGTTGGGGAAGTTCTCCTGGATGACAGCATAAAGCATGTTTTCCAACTTGGTTCTATTCTCCCCATCTCTTTGAGGTACCTCAATTACTCATAGGTTTGGTCTCTACATAATTCTATATTTCTCTGAGGTTTTGTTCGTTCCTCTTTATTCTTTTTTAAAATATATTCTTGTCTGTCTTATTTCAGAAAAAAAATAGTATTCTAGCTCTGATATTCTTTCTTCTTCTTGGTCTATTCTGCTATCCATACTTGTGATTTCATCGTGAAACTCTCATGTGTTTTTCAGCTCCATTAGGTCAGTTATGTTCATCTTTAAACTGACTATTTTGGCTATCAGCTCCTGTATTGTTTTATTATGATTCTTAGCTTCTTTTCATTGGGTTACAACATGCCCCTTTAGCTGAGAAAAGTTTGTTATTACCCACCTTCTGAAGCCTACTTCTGTCAATTCAGCCATCTCAGCCTCAGACCAATTATGCACCCTTGCTGGAGAGGTGTTGCGGTTATTTGGAGAAAAAGAGACACTCTGTCTTTTGGAGTTTGCGGCATTTTTGTGTTTATTCTTTATCGTTTTTGTGGGCTTATCTACCTTTAACCTTTGAGGTTGTTATCTTTGAATGGGTTTTTTTGGGGGTCTTTTATGTTGATGTTGTTCCTGTCATTTTTTTTTCTGTTTGTTTGTCTTTCTTTTAACAGTCAGTCCATTCTACTCTAGGGCTTCTGCAGTTTGCTGGGGCTCTGCTTCAGACCCTAGTTGCCTTGGGCTCTCCTAAACCTGGAGGTATCACCAGTGAACGCTACAAAATAGCAAAGATGGCAGCCAGTTTCCCTCTCTGGAAGCTGGATCCCAGGGGTCACTGACATGCCACCAGTCATGCACCACTAGGAGGCAGGTGGGGTTCTCTGCTGGGAGATCTCAGTTAGTCAAGAGGGATGGTACTGACCCAATAAAAGAATCTTGCTGCTTCTTGGTGGAGCACGTGTGTTTTGCTGGGTTAAGGGGGAACCCTACTTCAACTGGACCACCTGTATTCTTCACAGCTAGCAGTCTGGAATGGCTGAGTTTAGGAATTTGCAGATATGACAGCCACCCCTCCTTCTGGGAGCTCCCTCCCACAGAAAGATCAGATGTCTGTCTAGGTAATTGAACACCTACCCAGTAATGAGAGGTGGGTTTTGACCCTGGTTAAAGAAGCAGTGTGGCCATGATTTGACAAGGCAGCTGTGCTGCACCTTGGCAGGGGGGACTCTCCTCACCTGGGGGTCTGTACTCTCCACAGCCAGTAGGCTGGGAAAACTGAGTCCTCCCAATGGCAGAGATGGAGTCTGCCCCTCCCCCTAGGAATGTGGTCCTGTCTCCAGCGGACTTCAGACCTCTGCTATTGTCTGACTAGGACTCCATTAGAGTGGGTCTTAACCTCTGAGGTGAGAGGTGACAGCGTGCTAGCAGCCGTCACAGCCTTTGCTGGCTCTCGGCGCCTCCTCTGCCTGGGCTCCCACTCTGGCAGCTCTTGAGGAGCCCTTCAGCCCACTGTTGCACTGTGGGAGCCCCTTCCTGGGATGGCTGCAGCTGGAGCCGACTCCCTCAGCTTGCAGGGAGGTGTGGAGGGAGAGGCATGGGCGGGAACCAGGGCTGCCTGCCGCACTTGCCGCCAGCTAGAGTTCCGGGTGAGCGTGGGCTTGCCGGCCCCAGGCTCAGAGTGGTGGGCCAGCCCCGCAGCCTGCCGGCCCCAGGCAGTGAGGGGCTTAGCACCCGGGCCAGCAGCTGCAGAGGGTGCACTGGGTCCCCCAGCAGTGCTGGCCCACGGTGCTGTGCTCAATTTCTCTACTGGCCTTAGCTGCCTCCCTGCGGGCAGGGCTTAGGACCTGCAGCCTGCCATGCTTGAGTCTCCCCCACGACCCCCGCCATGGGCTCCTGCGCAGCCTGAGCCTCCCCGAGGAGCACCGCCCCCTGCTCCACGCGAGGGGTCCCATGGACCACCCAAGGGCTGAGGAGTGTGGGCACACTGCGCAGGACTGGCAGGCAGCTCCACCTGCGGCCCCAGTGCGAGATCCACTGGGTGAAGCCAGCTGGGCTTCTGAGTCTAGTGGGGACTTGGAGAACCTTTATGTCTAGCTAAGGGATTGTAAATACACCAATCAGCACTCTGTATCTAGCTCAAGGTTTGTAAACACACCAGTGGACACTCTGTATCTAGCTAATCTGGGGGGGACTTGGACAATCTTTATGTCTAGCTAAGGGATTGTGAATACACCAATGGGCACTCTGTATCTAGCTCAAGGTTTGTCAATGCACCAATCAGCACTCTGTGTCTAGCTCAGGGTTTGTAAATACACCAATCAGCACTCTGTATCTTGCTAATCTAGTGGGGATGTGGAGAACTTTTGTGTCCGGCTCAGGGATTGTAAACGCACCAATCAGCACCCTGTCTAAATGGACCAATCAGCTCTCTGTAAAACAGACCAATCAGCTCTCTGTAAAATGGACCAATCAGCAGGATGTGGGTGGGGCCAGATAAGGGAATAAAAGCAGGCTGCCAGAGCCAGCAGTGGTAACCCGCTGGGCTTCCCTTCCACATTGTGGAGGGTTTGTTCTTTCACTCTGTGCAATAAATCTTGTTGCTGCTCACTGTTTGGGTCCACACTGCCTTTATGAGCTGTAACACTCATGGTGAAGGTCTGCAGCTTCTCTCCTGAGGCCAGCGAGACCACGAACCCACCAGAAGGAAGAAACTCCAGACACGCTGCCTTTAAGAACTGTTAACACTCACCGAGAGGGTCCGCGGCTTCATTCTTGATGTCAGTGAGACCGAGAACCCACCAATTCCGGACACAGAGGTGCTATGGAGGTTGGGCCCACAGAGAAGATGCTCCTTGGCTCCCTGTATTCAGCTGCCTTTCTAGGAATACGTACGTACAGACAAATTTTCCACCGTGGCAGAGATCCAGGGCCTGGAGTATGCAAATCTCCTGGGTCTCTAGTTGGGCCTGAGTGGCTGTTTTGCCGAGACTCCACACAGTTCTGTGTATCGGACCCAAGGCCCTGGTGGTGTGGGCTCACAGGGGATCTCCTGATCCACAGGTTGCAAAGATCTGTGGGAAAAGCATGGCTTTCAAGGTGGATTGCATAATCACTCACCACCTCCGCTGGCTGGAGGCCGGTATTCCTTTGGCTCCACTCCACACCCTGGTGGGCTGTTACAACTCTCTGTATCTCCTTGCTCTCCATGAGTCCACGCTGCTTGCCTATTCAGTCCCAATGTAGGAATTTAGATATTTCAGTTGAGGTTGCTGAATTTTTTTTCCCCTTTTCATTTCTCTTCATGAGCACCACAGACTGCAGCTCCTTCTAATTGGCCATCTTGCCCCTCCCTCTATTCACTTTTTTTAACAATTTACTTTTTAATTGAAAAATTAAAAAAGCATATATTTATTATGTGCAATGTAGTTTTAAGGTATGAATATTTTATGGGATGGCTAAATAAAGCAAATTAATATATGCATTATTTAAAATACTTATTTTTGTGATGAGAACATTATCTATTTTCTTTGCAGTTTTCAAGAATACAATAAGTTATTAACTATAGTCACTATGTAGTACAGTAGATCTCTTGAACTGATTTCTTCTAACTAAAATTTTGTATCTTTTGAGAAAAATCTCCAATCTTCCCTCTTCCTACACTTCGTACACTTAACTCCTGGTAATCATCTCCACTTCTACTCTCCACTTCAATGCATTCAACTTTTTTAGATTCAACATATAAGTGAAATCATACAGTATTTGTCTCTCGGTGCCTGGCTTATTTTACTTAACATATTGTATTTTTGTTTTTTCCATGATTTCACAAATAACAAGATTTTCTTTTATTTAAAGGTAGAGTAGTATTTCATAGTGTATACATACCACATTTTTAATCCATTTATTTGTTGATGAACACTCAGATTGAGTCTATAGCTTTGCTATTGTGAATAATACTGCAATGGACATAGTAGCTCAGATATCTCTTTAACATACTAATTTTATTTCCTTGGATTTATACCCAATAATAGAATTAATGAACCATACGGTAGTTCTTTTTTTATATGTTTTAGGAAAATCCGTGCTGTCCATACTGGTTTCCACATTGAATGTGCTAATTTATTTTCTGAAAAACAGTGTGCAAGTGTTCACTTTTTTCCAGAATTTGAGTAGCACATGTTATCTTTCACCTTTTGAATAATTGTAATCCTAATAGGTGTCAGGTGGTGTCTCATTGTCATTTTAATTTGCATTTCTTTCATAATTTGTGATTTTGAACATCTTCTCATGTACATGTTATTTGTGTGTCTTCTTTTCAGAAATGTTTATTCAGATTCTATGCCAATTATTAAATTTGTTTGTTTTAATTCTTGAGTTTCTTGAGTTTTTTAATATATTTGGACTATGAATGTTTTATTACATAAATGGTCTCCAAATACTTCCTCTTCTTCCATAAGTTTTCTCTTTGCTCTGTTGATTGTTTTTTTGGCTGTGCAGAAGCCTTTTTTTGTGATGGACTTCCCATTTGTCTATGTTTCCTTTTGTTGTCTGTGCTTTTGGTGATCATATTCCAAAAGTACAGTCAAAAAATAATTGCCCACCAAAGTCATGAAGCTCTCCCCATGTTTTTTATTAGTCCATTCTTGTATTTCTATTAAAAAAAACCTTAAAACTGGATAATTTATAAAGAAAAGAGGTTTGGTTGGCTCACAGTTCTGCAGCCTATACAGAAAGCATCAAGGCAGTATCTGCTTCTGGAGAGGCCTCAGGAAGCTTAAAATTATGGCAAAAGGCAAAGGAAGAGCAGGCATGCTACATGGTGAAAGCATAAGCAAGAGCAAGAGAGAGAGGGAGTAGGGAGGTGTCACACACTTTTAAATAACCAGATCTTGTGAGAACTCACTGTTGTGAAGACAGCACCAAGCCATGAGGGATCTGCCCCCATGATCCAAACACCTTCCACCAGGCCTGACCTTCAGCATTGGAGATTGCAATTCAACATGAGATTTGAGTAGGGACAAATATCCAAGTTATATCATTCTTTCCCAGCCCTTCCAAATCTTATATCCTTCTCACATTGCAAAATAGAATAATGATCTTCCAACACTACCCCCAAAATCTTAACTCATTCCAAAATTAATTCCAAAGCTTAAAGTTTCACCTGAGACAAGGCAAGTACCTTCCAGCTATGAGCCTGTAAAATAAAAAACAAGTCAGTTACTTCCAAGATACGATGTGAATATGGGTATTGGGTAAACGTGACTATTCCAAAAGGGTGCAATCTACTAAAAGAAAGGAGCTACATGCTCCATGCAAGTCTAAATCCTAGCAGACGTATATGCATTAAATCTTAAAGCTCCAGTGTAGTCATGTTTGACTTTCTGTTCCACTTCCAGGGAAACCTGTTGTGAGAGTTGGGCTCCCAAGGTCTTTCACAGCTTTGCCTCTGTGGCTTTGCACAGTTCAGCACTCATGGCTGCTCTAACAATTTGTTGAGAGCCTGTAGCTTCTTCAGGTGTAGAGTAAAAGTTGTCAGTGGATCTGCCATTCTGCAGTCTGAAGGATAGTGGCCCTCTTCTCACAGCTCCACTAGGCAGTGCCCCGCTGAGGACTCTGTTTGGGGGTTCTAATCCCACATCTACCCTCGGCACCACCATGGTGGAGGTTTCCAATGAGAGCTCTGCCCTCCAGCATGCTTCTGCCTGAGCACTGAGGCTTTCTCATACATCCTCTGCAATTTAGGTGGAGGTTGCCAAGGCTTTTTTAATCTTGCATTCTGTGTGCCTGCAGGCTTAACACCACATGAAAGCTACCAAGGCTTATAGCTTGCACCCTCTGGAGCTGCAGCCTGAGCTGTACCTGTGCTCCTTTGAGTCACAGTTGGAGCTGGAGTGGCTGGGATGTGGGGAGCAGTGTCCTGAGGATGTACAGGACTATGGGGCCCTGGGTCTGGACTACAAAACCATTCAGTCCTACAAGGCATCTGGTCCTGTTGTGGGAGAAGCTGCCACAAAGTTTTCTGAATTGCCTTCTATGTCTTTTCCCTCATTGTCTTGGATATTTACATTTGGCTCCCTTTTAGTTATGTAAATATGTCTAGCAATTTGTTGCCCCACAGATTGCTTGAATTCTTCTCCTCAAAAGAGGCTTTCTTTTCCACCACATGGCCAGGCTGAAAATTTTCCAAACACTTACACTCTGCTTCTATTTTAAATATAAGTTCCAGCTTTTATAAGTCATTTATTTGCTCCCACATCTTAGTGTAGGCTGATAGAGATAGCCAGGCCACATCTTGAACAATTTGCTGCTTAGATGCTTCTTCTTTCAGATACCCAACATCATCATTCTCAAGCTGAAACTTCTACAGAGCCCTAAAGCATAAACAGAATGCAGCCAAGTTTTCTTAAGGCATTACATGCATAATATTTGCTCCAGTTTCCAACAGGTTTATCATTTCCATTTGAGACCTCATCAAGCTGGACTTCACTGTCTGTTTACCATCAGAATTTCTGTCACAATTATTTTATCAGTCTCTAAAAAATTGCAAATTTCCCTCATATTTCTGTACTCTTCTTAGCCCTCCAAACTCTTCCATCCTCTGCCCATTACCCAGTACTAAATACACTTCCATATAATCAGGTACCTTTATAGCAAAGCCCTACTTCGTGGTACAAATTTTCTTTATTAGTTTGATTTGCATTGCTATGAAAAATACCTGAGGCTGGGAATTTTTTTTTGAAGTTTTAATTGGCTCACTGCTCTGCAGGCTGTATAGGAAGCATAGGGTTGGCATCTGCTTCTGGAGAGACCTCAGACAGTTTACAATCATGGCAGATGTTGAAGGAGGAGCAAGAGCATTATACGATAAAAGTAGGGGCAATAGCAAGAGGAGGGGAGGTGCCACACACTTTTAAATGACCAGATCTCACTAGAATTGTATTATAAAGACAACGCCAAGCAATGAGGGATCCTATCTCATGACTCAAACACCTCCTACAAGGCCTCATCTCCAGGATTGAGGATTACAATTCAACATGAGATTTGGCTAGGGACTGATATGGTTTGGCTGTGTCCCCACTCAAATCTCATCTTGAATTGTAACTCCCATAATTCCCACATGTCATGGGAGGAACCTGGTGGGAGATAATTGAATCATGAAGGAGGGTCTTTCCTATGCTGTTCTTGTGATAGTAAATAAGTCTCAAAAGATCTTTAAAAATCACAAGATTTAAAAATTTAAAATTTAATTAAATTTAAATTAGATTAATATGATTTAAATTAAGTTAATTCATTTTAACTTAGTTTAAATTAAAATTAAAATTTAAAATTTAAAAATCACAAGATTTTTAAAAGATGGTTTTAAAAATGAGAGTTTCTCTACACAAGCTCTCTCTTTGCCTGCTGCCATTCCCATAAGATGTGACTTGCTCCTCCTTGCTTTCCACCATAATTGTGAGGCCTCTCTGGCCACGTGGAACTGTAAGTCCATCAAACGCTTTTCTTTTGTAAATTGCCAAGTCTAAGGTACGTCTTTATCAGCACCATAAAAACTGACTAATACGGTAAATTGGTAAAAGTAGAGAGGGGCGCTGCTCTAGATACCCAAAAATGTGGAAGTGACTTTGGAACTGGGTAACAGGCAGGGGCTGCAACAGTTTGGAGGGCTCAGAAGAAGACTGGAAAATGTGAAAAAGTTTGGAACTTCCTAGAGACTTGTTAAATGGCTTTGACCAAAATGCTGATAGTGATATGGACAGTGGAACAGGCTGAGGTGGTCTCAGATAGAGATGAGAAACTTGTTGGGAACTGGAGAAAATGTGACTCTTGCTATGTTTTAGCAAGGAGACTGGCAGCATTTTGCCTCTGCTCTAGAGATTTGTGGAACATTGAACTTGAGGAAAATTATTTAGGGTACCTAGCAGAAAAAATTTATAAGCAGCAAAGCATTCAAGAACTGATTTGGGTGCTGCTAAAAGCGTTCAGTTTAAAAAGGAAAGGAAAACAGGGCATAAAAGTTCAGATAATTTGCAGCCTGACAATGCAATGGAAAAGAAAAACCTATTTTCTGAGGAGAAATTCAAGCCTGCTAAAGAAATTTGGATAATTTACAAGGAGCCAAATGTTAATTGCGAAGACAATGGGGAAAATGTCTCCAGGGCGTGTCAAGTCTTCACGTCAGCCCCTCCCATCACAAACCTGGAGCCTAGGAGTAAATAACGGTTTTGTGGGCTGGGCTCAGGGCACCTCCTGCTCTGTGTAGCCTGGGGACTTGGTGCCCTATGTCCTAGCCACTTCCGCCATGGCTGAAAGGGGCCAACAGATCTCGAGCCTTGGCTTCAGAGAGTTCAAGCCTCAAGCCTTGACAGCTTCCATGTGGTGTTGAGCCTGTGAGTACACAGAAGTCAAGAATTGGGGGCAAGGCACAGTGGCTCACGCCTGTAATACCAGCACTTTGGGAGGCTGAGGTGGGTGAATCATCTGAGTTCAAGAGTTTCAGACCAGCCTGGCCAACATGGTGAAACCCCGTCTCTACCAAAAATATAAAAAATTAGCTGGGTGTGGTGGTGCATGCCTGTAACCCCAGCTACTCAGGAGGCTGAGTCAGGAGAATTGCTTGAACCTGTGAGGTGGAGGTGGCAGTGAGCCAAGATTGTGCCACTGCACACCAGCCTGGGCGACAGAGTGAGACTCCATCTCAAAAAAAAAAAAAAAAAAAAAAAAAAAAAAAAAGAATTGGGGTTTGGGAACCTCCACCTAAATTTCAGAGGATGTATGGAAATGCCTGAATGTCCAGGAAGAAATTTGTTGCAGAGGTGGGGCCCTTATGGAGAACCTATGCTAAGGCAGTGTGGAAGGGAAATGTTGCATTGGTGCCCCCACACAGAGTCCCTACTGGGGCACTGCTTAGTGTAGCTGTGAGAAGAGGGCCACCATGCTCCAAATTCCAGAATAGTAGATCCACTGACAGCTTGCACTGTGCACCTGGAAAAGCTGAAGATACTCAAAGCCAGCCCATGAAAGCAATCAGGAGGAAGGCTGTGCCCTGCAAAGCAACAGGGGCAGAGCTGCCCAAGACCATGGGAACCCATTTCTTGAAAGGACATCATTTTGGAGTTTTAACATTTGACTGACTTGCTGGATTTTGGACTTGCATGGGGCCAGTAGCCCCTTTGTTTTGGCCAATTTCTTTCATTTAGAATGGCTGTATTTACCCAATGCCTGTACCTTGCATTGTATCTAGGAAGTAACCTACTTGATTTTGATTTCCCAGGCTCATAGGTGGAAGCGACTTGGCCTTGTCTCAGTTGGGACTTTGGACTGTGGACTTTTGAGTTAATGCTGAAATGAGTTAAGACTTTGAGGGATTGTTGGGAAGGCATGATCGGTTTTGAAATGTGAGGACATGAGATTTGGGAGGGTCCAGGGACAGAATAATATGGTTTGGCTGTGTCTCCACCCAAATCTCATCTTAAATTGTAACCCTCACAATTCCCAGATGATGTGGGAGAAACCCAGTGTGAGGTAATTGAATCATGAAGGTGGGTCTTTCCTGTGCTGTTCTCATGATAGTGAATAAGTCTGATGGCTTTAAAAATGGGAATTTTCCTGCACAAACTCTCTCTTTGCCTGATGCCATACATGTAAGACATGACTTGCTCCTCCTTGCCTTCTGCCACTATTGTGAGGCCTCCCCAACCACGTGGAACTATAAGTCCATTAAACCTCTTTATTTTGTAAATTGCCCAGTCTCGGGTATGTCTTTATCAGCAGTGTGAAAACAGACTAATACAGGGTGGAGACAATACACAAACAATATCAGTTTTCTTCCAGTAATTTTATAGTTTCAGATCTTATCTTTAAGTCTTATATCCACTTTGATTTAATTTTTTATATGGTGTGAAATAAGAGTGTAATTTCACTCTTCTGCAGTTGGATATCCAGTTTTCTCAGCATTATTCATTAAAGAGACTGATTTCTCCCCATTGTGTGTCCTTGGCAGCCTTGCTGAAAATCAGCTGACCTTAACTATGTGGATTTATTTCTGGGATCTCTATTATATTCCATTAAGCTATGTGCCTGATTTTATATGAGTATCATGCTTGTTTGATTTCTATGGCTTTATATTTTTTTTGAAGTGGTAGTATGATGCTTTGAGGTTTGTTCTTTTGGCTAAAAATTGCTTTACATGTTTGGTAACTATTGTGATTCCATATGAATTTTAAAATGATGTTTTCTATTTCCATGTAAAATGTCCTTGATATTTTGATAGTGATTTCATTGAATCTGTATAGCACATTGGATAGCATGAACATTTTAACAACATTAATTATCCCAATCCATGAACATATGATATCTTTCCATTTATTCGTGTCTTCTTCAACTTCTTTTATCAAAGTTTGATAGTATTCAATGTACAGATCTGTCAACTCCATGGTTAAATGTACTCATAAGTTTTTTACTGTTTGTAGCTACTTTAAATTAATTTTTTCTTGATTTCCTTTTTAGATAGTTTGTTGTTAGTTTATCAAAACACTGCTGAATTCCTTTTGTTGATTTTTACAATCTAAATTTTACTGAATTTATTTATAGTTCTCACAATTTTGGGTAGAGTTTTTACAATGTTCTATACATAAGATTATGTAAACAAGAACAATTTAACTTTTTTTTGGTTCTATTTGGAGTCTTTAACATCTCCCTCTTGTCTAATTGCTCTGGCTGGTACTTCTAGTACCACATTGAACAGAAGTGGCAATAATAATTATTCTTGTCTTTTCCCTGATCTTAGAGACAAACTGTTACACTTTTCACCATTGAGTATGATAGATATAAATTTCTTATGTAAAGCCTTTATTGTTTTCAGGTTAATTATTTTTATGCCTTTTATCTTGATAGTTTTTTATTCACAAATTGATGTTAAGTTTTGTCAAATGATTGTTTTGTATCTATTTATATGCTCATATAAATTTTGTCCATTTTGTTAATCTGATGTTTCAAAATTATCAATTTGTGTGTGCTGAAACATTATTGCATTCCTGGAATAAATCCCACATGAGATGGTGAAGTATTATTTTAACTTGCTGTTAAATTTGGTTTGTTCATATTTTCAAATCTCTGTTTATGTGGGATATTAGCCTAGAGTGTTTACTTTTTTTCTTTTTCTCTTTTTTTTCTTGTAGTGTCCATGTCTGACTTTGGTATCTGGGTTATGCTGGGCTTGGAAAATGAGTTTGAAAGTATTTTCTTTTTTTATTTTTTAGAACAGTTAGACAAGAATTGGTATTGGTTATTCAATGTTTGGTCAGAATTAACAGAGGAGTCAGCAGGTCTTAGGTTTTTCTTCCATGAGAAATATATTATTAATGTTTCAATCCCTTTATGCATTATTGTTATTTTCACAATTTCTGTTTCTTTGTGATTCATCTTAAGTTGTGTGTGTCTAGGAATGTATCTGTTTCTTCTAGGTTACCTAGTTTGTTAGCATATAATTTTTAATACTTTTGTATTATTCATTGTATTTCTGTTATATCAATTGTAATATATTTTCTTTCATTGCTGATTTTACTTGAGAATTTTCTATTGGTGTCTTAGTCTAGCTAAAATCTTGTTAATTTTGTTTAAATTTTCTAAAAGGAGCAACTCAGTTTTGTTGATTTCTTTCTATTCTTTTTGTAGTGTCTATTTCACTTATTTCTGTTCCAATCTTTATTAGTTATTTCTTTCTGCTAACTTTGGGCTTAGGTTGTTCTTTATTTTCTAGTTTGTTGAGATATAACATTAGGTTGTTCATTTTATATCTTTTTGCTTTTTTTGATATACATGGTAATTGCTACAAACTTCCATCTTGGAATTGCATTTGTTGCATCCCACATTTCTTGATATGTTGTGTTTTATTTTGTTTCCTCCAGATACTTTTACTTTTTCACATTTTATTTTAAATTCAGAAGGTGCATGTGTGAGTTTGTTACCTGGATATATTGTGTAATGGTGAGGTTTGGGATATAAATGATTTTGTTACTTAAGTACTGATCATAGTACCCAACCGTTTGTTTTTCAACCATTGCACCTCTCCCTTCCTTCCTCCCTCCCTCCCTCCTCTAGCAGTCCTCTGTGTTTATTGTTGCCGTCTCTGTGTCCATGAGTTCTTGATGTTTAGCTTCCACTTATAAGTGATATAATGTGGTATTTGGTTTTCTGTTCCTGCATTAATTCACTTAGAATAATGGCCTCCACCTCCATCCATGTTGCTGCAAACAACATAATTTTATTCTTTTTATCGCTGAATAATATTCCATGGTGTATATATACCATATTTTCTTATCCACTCTACCATTGATGGACACCTAATTTGAGTCCATTTCTTTGCTATTGTGAATAGTGTGGAGATGAACAAACAAGTACATGTGTCTCTTTGGTAGTATAATTTATTTTCTTTTGGATACATATCCAGTAATGGGATTGCTGGGTCAAAAAATAATTCAGTTTAAGTTCTTCGAGAAATCTCCAAACTGCTTTCCACAGTGGCTGAAGTAATTTACATTTTCACCAACAGTGTATAAGCATCTCCGTTTCTCTGAAGCCTCACCAATATCTGTTGCTTTCTGACTTTTTAATAATAGGCAATCTAGTTGGCATGATTGTATCTCCTTGTGGTTTTGACTTGCATTTCTCTGAAGATTAGTGATGATGAGCATTTTTTTCATAGGTTTGTGGGCTACTTGTGTGTCTTCTTTTGAGAAATATCTGTTTATGTCCTTTGTCCACTTTTTAACGGGGTTGTTTGCTTTTTCCTTGTTGATTGTTTAAGTTTCTTATAGATTCTGATATTAGTCCTTTGTTGGATGCATAGTTTGAAAATATTTTCTGCCATCCTGTAGGTTGTCTGTTTACTCTATTGATCATTTCTTTTGCTGTGCAGAAGCTTTTTATTTTAATTAGGTCTCACTGGTCAATTTTTGTTTTTGTTGCAATTGCTTTTGAGGACTTAGTCATAAAATCTTTCTCAAGGCCCAGGTCCAAAATGCTGTTTCTAAGACTTTTCTCTAAGATTCTTATACTTTGAGGTTTTAGATTTAATACTTTAATTCATCTTGAATTAACTTTTGCATTTGGTGAAAGGCAGGTGTTCAGTTTCATTCTTCCACATCTGGTTAGCCAGCTATCCCAGCACCATTTATTGAATGGAGAGTCTTTTTCTTGTTTCTTATTTTTTGACTTTGTTGAAGATTAAATGACTGTAGGTGTTTGGCTGTATTTTGGGGTTCTCTATTCTGTTCCATTGGTTTGTGTGTCTGTTTCTGTACCAGAACTGTGCTATTTTGGTTACTGTAGGCTTAGAGCATAGTTGGAGGTCAGGTAATGTGATGCCCTTAGCTTTGTTGTCTTGGCTTAGGACTGCTTTTGTCTCCAGGTATGTTTAAATTTCTTTTTTAATTTCTTAATTGATTCATTGGTTGTTCAGAAGCATATCGTTCAATTTTCGTGAATTTGTAAGTTTTCCAAATTTATAATTTTTCAAATTTATTATGTTATTGATTTCTATTTTTATTTCATTGCTATCAGAAATGTTACTTGATACAGTTTCAATCATTTAAAATTTGCTGATTTTTTTCATGGACTAAAATTTGATCCAACTTGGAGAATGTTCCATGTGCACTTAGGAAGAATGTGTATTTTGATACCATTGAATGGAATGTTATGTATATGTCAGGTTCATTTGATTTAAAGTGCAGCTTAATTCCAATGTTTCCTTATTGATTTTCTGTCTCTATGATATATCCATTTTTGATAGTAGTGTACTAAATTTGTGCTTTTATTTTTTGTATTACTCAGCTTTAGATTTCGTTTGACTTTTTAAAATAATTTTATTCTCTGTTAAATTTCTGGTTTTGTTTACTTATTATTCTCCTAATTTTATTAATAGTGTCTGTATTTTCTTGAAGTTTTGAGATTTTTCTGAAGATAACTGTTCGTAATTATTTTTCAGGCAGTTTGTATGCCTCCATTTTGGGGGGTCAGCTAGGGGAGATTACTGTGTCCTTTTGGTGATGTCTTAGTGTGTTTGTATTGCCCTTACAAAATACCTGATACTGGATAATTCATAAAGAATATATGTGTTGCCATTCTAGGAGCTGGAAACAAAAAATTAGGGCACTGGTAGGTTTCACTGTC
Source organism: Homo sapiens (assembly GCF_000001405.40). Classification (NCBI taxonomy): domain Eukaryota; kingdom Metazoa; phylum Chordata; class Mammalia; order Primates; family Hominidae; genus Homo; species Homo sapiens. The sequence continues at coordinate 79,543,155 of NC_000023.11, forward strand.
TGGTAAGAGCTGTTCTCTGCATACTCCAAAGGGGTGGAATGATGTGTCCTCACATGGTGGAAGGCACAAGAGCAAGCTAGTCAAGTGCTAAGTGAATTCTCTTTTGTAATAACCTTAATAAAATTTAAAAGGACAGGAACCCTCCTGACCTAATCACCTATTAAAAGCCCTATCTTTTAATATTATCACATTGGCTATTAACTTTCAACACCTGAATTTTAAAGGGGACATACTCAAACTATAGCATTTGCCTCTGGTTACCCAAAATTCATGTTCTTGTCACATGGAAAATACATTTATTCCACTTCAGTAGCCCTAAAAGTCTTAGTTTATTCCAGCATCAACTCAAAAGTATAAAGTTCAGAGTCTCATTTAATCAAATTTGGGTAAGACTCAAGGCATGATTCGTTGTGAGAAAAAATTCCCTCTATTGGTGAGCCTGTGAAATTAAAACAGTTATATACTTGCAAAAGAAAATTCTGGGACAGTTTTAGAATACACATTTCAATTCCAAAGGTAAGAAATAGGTAAAAAAAAATTGTAACAGGTCCCAAGCAATTCCTAACACAAGGTAAATAACACCATGTAGTGAAGCCTAAGAATAGACCTCCCCGACACCATGTCTTTCCTTTTGCACAAACTAAGATGAGAGTTGGGCACCCAGACTCTTGGTGACCACACCCTCATGGATATTCTAGGAACAGCCCATGCTGCAACTTTCATGGGTTGAAGCCTTAGCCTATGGCTCTCCAATGCTGATGCTGCATGCTGATCACTTTAGAGATCTAGGGTCTTGAGAATGGTCCTGCCAGGACAGCTTCACTAACTATTGCCCTAGTGGGGAATCTCTGCAGTGCCCCAGCCCCACAGTTCCACTTGTCATTGCTCTGGTGAAGGCTCTCAGCACTAGCTCCAATCCCACAGCTCTACTAGACATTTTCTAAATGAGGACTGTCTTTTGCACACCCACCCCTGAAATAGTAATCTGCCTGGGCCCCAAGGCTCTCTATGGCATCCTGTAAAATCTAAGTAGAGTTAGTCATGCTTCTGCAGCTCATGCACTCTGTACACCTGCAGAATTAGGACCACACGGACACTGCCAAGGGCCCTAGACTGCACCCTAGGAAAGCAATGGCCTGAGGCTCACCTGTGCCTGCTTGAACTACAGCTGGGGCAGCTCAAGAGCATTGTGCCAGAATGTGGGGAACAGAGATGAGACAGCCCTGGGCAGCAAGCCCTGATGTTTCATGAGCACCTGAATTTTGGGGGGAAAGTATTCAAACCATTTTATTTTCTCCTGGACCCCGAAATTTGTGTCCTTCTCACATGCAAAATAAATTTATTCCACCACAATAGCTCCAGAAATATTAACTTTTTCAAACATCAACTTTAAAATCTATATCCAAAGTTTCATCTCAATATTGTCTAAATCAGATATGAGTGAGAATCAATGTATGATTCATTCTGAGACAAATTACCCTCCAACTGTCACCCTGTGATATCAAACAAGTTACGTGCTTCCAAAATCCAATGGTGGGATACAAATAGGATAGATATTCTCATTTTCAAAGAGATAAATAGAAAAGAAGAATAGACTTATAAGTCCCAAATACGCTCAAAACCCAGCAAGGCAAGCAACATTAAATCTTAAGGCTGGAGAAAGATATTTGTTTACCTCATGTCACGCATTCCAGTTACAATGAGGACAAAATTGGGCCCTTAAGGCTTCAGGTAACTCAGTCCCCATGTTTTAGCATAGCTCATGCTGCAGCCCTCAGAGACTGGAGTCTCATGCTTTGGGTTCTCCCAGGCTGTAGTTGCACACTGGTGGCTCTATTGTTTTGTGGTCTCGAGGGTGGTGGCTTTATTTATTTCTTTTTTTTTCTTTTCTTTTCTTTTTCTTTTTTTTTTTTTTTGAGACGGAGTCTCTCTTGCCCAGGCTGGAGTGCAGTGGCGCAATCTCCGCTTACTGCAACCTCTGCCCCCCCAGGTTCAAGCGATTCTCCTGCCTCAGCCTCCTGAGTAGCTGGGACTACAGGCGCCCGCCACCACGCCCAGCTAATTTTTGTAATTTCAGTAGAGGGGGGTTTTGCTGTGTTAGCCAGGATGGTCTCGATCTCCTGACCTCATGATCCACCTGCCTCAGCTTTACAAAGTGCTGGGATTACAGGCGTGAGCCACTGCTCCCCGTTGGGTGGCTTTATTTCTATGGCTCACTGAACATTGCCTTAATGGGGACTCTCTACCATTTCCTAGTTGCCATGGTTCCAATGGCTATTGCCATAGTAGGTTTCTCTGTGGCAACCCCACTCTCAAGGCAGCCCTCTTTTGGGGTTGCATATTCTAAGCTTTAGGAAGCTCCATTCTTCCAAATCCAGGTTAAGGCTTCCATGTTCCCATAGCTTGTGCACTCTGGTCCAGCAAAGATGGCACCGTGTGGATGCCTCCAAGGTTTTGTTACCTGTGCACTCTGGAGGGGTGGCCACTGTGACTCACATTGCACCTAGGCCCACTGGAGTCACACCTAGGATATCTGAGTTGCAATGGCTCAGAATTCAGGAAGCAGAGACTTAAAGCAGTGCCAGGCAGCAAGTGCTGAGACCTCAAGGATGACCAAGGCCCTTGTTTTAACATAGTTTTTTTCCCCAGGGCTTGGTACTTTTGGTTTTTGCTGGGAATGAAGCTATGATGATATTGTAAATGCCTTCAGAGTCATTTTTCCATCCTCATGATGAATAGCACAAGGCTTCCACTCATCCGTACTAATCCCTTTATCAAATGGTTTTTTGGCCACATCCTTTGCGTTCTTTCTTGGACATACTTTTTCACTGGGTGCAACATGGCCAGGCTGGGACTTTTCCAAATCTTGAAGTTCTGCTTCTCTTTATGTTATAAATTCTGTCTTTAATTTGATTCTCTTTTATTACCTTTTACTGTAAGCCATTACCCACCCTCAACACTTTGCTTAGAATTTTTTTTTTCTGCAAAAAAATTCTAGTTCTTTGTTCTTAAGTTTTTTTCACAAAGGACCAGGACACAAATAAAGTTCAGCCACATTTATTGCCACTTTATAACAAGGATGGCCTTTCCTCCAGTTTTTAATACCTTGTTCTTAATTTCCATCTTATACCTCATCAGAATTGCCTCCAACCCCTACCCATTACCCTGCTCCAAAGCCACTTTCACATTTTCAGTTATTTGTTATAACAATACTCCATTTTTCAATACTAGTATCTGTCTTAGTATATTGATGTTTCCATAACAGAATACTGCAAATTGGGTAATTTGTAAACAATAGAAATTTATTTTTCACAGCTCTGGAGGCTGGACGTTTCAAGTTCAATGTGCCAGCAGATTTTGTGTCTGGTGAAGGCTTGCTCTATGCTTCCGATATGGTACCTTGTTGCTGTATCTTCATATGGCAGAAAGCAGAAGGGCAAAAAAGGACTAGAACATTCCTTTCCATCTCTTTTATATGAGCTCTAATCCCATTCATGAGGTTGGAGTACTTATGACTTAATTATTTTCCGGGGCCCCACTTCTTAATATTATCACATAAAGTATAATGTTTTAACATGTTAATTTTGGAGGAACACATGCATTTAAACCATAGCATCCTGTTAAGTTTCTGGTTAGTCCTCCTTTACTGGTATTACACTTAGCTGTTAGATTCCACCAGTTACTAGTTGATTGAAGTCTTGCTTTTGGCCTTTCAAATTTATGCTCTTTAGCATAAATTTCTCTGCACTCTGATCCAATTGATTTCAGGCCCTTTGTCAGGGCCATGGTATTGCCCGTCTTAGAAGCTTGTTTTGACCCACCGATAGGCAGAAAGAACTTGTGTGTTATAAACCAGAAACTGGCATGTGGGGGAGAAGGAATTGCTCATCAGTAGCTTTCCTAACAAGATCTGCCCTACAGGGCAAGTGCTGTGTGTGCTTGTGTGTGTGTGTGTGCCCGCGCCTGCACATGCATGCATCCATGTATAGAGACAGAGAACAGGCACCAGTGTCACTGCCATCACTACTCAATATAGGCCTTCTGAAGCATGGATTTGTGAAAAATATGATCTGTAGATGTTAACTTGTTGCCAATCCACCCAGAACAGGTTTTCTACCTTAATCAGCTGTGAGAAAGAAGAATTGCCACCTGGCTGTCAGGATAGCTAAAATAGTTTCTCCACAAGGCAGACCTGTTGGGGATGGGTATAATCCCCACCTTGAATACCACAGGATCCCATTTTTCTTACCAAGTTTCTATAGATATTTTTGAGTAGATGCTTCCCAATTTTTTATAAGTACTTTGATCCCAAGCGCTTTGAATGATTGTCTTTGCTAGTTTTGACAAGCTTAAAACATGTCCCTGTGGGGCAGAGGTTTCTACAAGCTCCTCACATTGCCATTCCATGAGTTCTGCCTCCAAGTGTTTGTGGTTCTTTTAGTAGACATATTTTAGTTATTAATTGTAGTTATTACAAAATAATAGAAAATAACACTTGTATGTTTATCACTGCATTATTCACAATAGCAAAGTCATGGAATCAACCTAAGTGCCCACAAATAGATGAGTGGATAAAGAAAATATGGCATGTATAGGTCATGGAATACTATGCAGCCATAAAAATAATGAAACTATGTCCTTTGCAGCAGCATGGATGGAACATGAGGACATTGTCCTAGGTAAAATAACTCGGAAACAGAAAAACAAATACCACATGTTCTCACTTACAAGTATGAGCTAAACAATAGGTACACATGGACATAAAGATGACAGTAATAGAAGTGGGAGACTCCAAAAAGGTGGAGGTTAGGAGGAGGCCAAGTGTTGAAAATTATCTGTTGGGTACAATGTTCACTATTTGGGTGATGGGTACATGAGAAGCCCAAACCTCACCATTATGCAATGTATCCATGTAACAAACTTGTACATATACCCCCTGAATATGTAATAAAAAGGAAACTTCCACCATAGAAGGCAAAAAACAAAAAGCTATACTATGTTTAGTGATATTTAAATAAGCCTGAAACATATGATATGCAACTTTGGAAGGGAACATATTATGAGTGAACTTAGAAATACAGATGGAGGTTGATACTAGTGAGATATCCTAGGAACCTGTTAGAGTTATAGACTTCCTGTAGCCTCATCTATGGAAGAGATTCCAGAATTCCTAGGAAATATGGATGTAGGTTTGCAGATGGAGAGTGGATTGAACGCAGATGAGGATTAGATTAATTTTTGATGACATTGTCTAAAGCTGAGATATAAACTGGTGTTAATAATTAGATTTTAGTTTACCTGTCAGCTCTCAGGAATACAAATTATTTTTCAATACACAGGTAAAAAAAAGTCTTGTATTAGTGGGGAGCCCTGGAGCTAATACAAAATGTGTCATTTTTTAGGGCATTTATAATGACCAAGATAGTGTCATGGTTATAGGAGATAGACAAATCAGATGTCAATCTAATATGACACACTTCTGTGGGACAAGGAAAGAGGAACACGTCTTTGAATTGCTTTGACCTGGTTAAAAATATTCCAAATGATGGTGTTTGTTACATTTGATGCAGTGTCTAGATGGGGTGATCTCTTGGAGATGTAGACATGAAGAGAAGTCGACATCTCTCTTGATCCTGAGTGACAGTTGATGTAATAAAAGATTATGAGAATTCCAATCAAGGATAAATAGTCTTGAATGGGTCATAGTTGCCAGCTGAGGGATGAGGTTTATTAATACAGATGAAATATTTGTGTGTGATCCTTCACTGGCAAGATGTTCACTCAGTTACCTTCACAGAGTGGGTTGTTTAGGCCTCCTTCTACTCCTGGTGCAGTCTCACAGAACCTTTAAGTCTCTGGTACTTCTCTACATAGGCATTCACTATGCAGGATCATCTAGACATGAGTGAATTTCTCAGGTTTAAGAATTTCCCAATGGACAAGAATCGAGTAAATAATTTTATAATACACTTAACCTGACTGTAAGGTGTATGCGAGGCTATCTCCTACTAATTAGTATTAATTTGGTACGTGCTCTGAAAGTACAATTTTATAAAAATCCATGATTATTAGAGCAAATAGAGAAGGTTGGAGAATCAATTAAAAGGATGAAATTCTTGCATAATGGCTGTATGGAGGCTTGTGGTTATCTTGGTAGATTCTTTTTTTTTTTTTTTTTTTCCTCATAGCACCTTGACCTTCATGGAGAAGACATATGGGCAAAGAACCTCTGTCTGTGAAGTAATTTGTGCTCTTGATTTTGAACTTTATGTTTGTTTTTTTTTTTTCTTTTTGAGACGGAGTCTTGCTCTGTCACACGGGATGGAGTGCAGTGGCGCAATCTCGGCTCACTGCAAGCTCCGCCTCCCAGGTTCACGCCATTCTCCTGCCTCAACCTCCCGAGTAGCTGGGACTACAGGTGCCTGCCACCACGCCCGGCTATTTTTTTTTTTTTTTTTGTATTTTTAGTAGAGACGGGGTTTCACCGTGTTAGCCAGGATGGTCTCAAACTCCTGATCTCGTGATTTGCCCACCTCGGCCTCCCAAAGTGCTGGGATTACAGGTGTGCGCCACTGTGCCCGGCCGAACTTTGTGTTCTTGATTTTGAGAAGTGGCTTAATTTATCTGCTTCCCATGACTGCCGACATGAACATATTATTTGAATTTAAAGGGGTAATAATGAACTAGAAACTGAGAAAGGACTTGACATATGAATAATGCTTTATTAGTTGAACAAGGGAGGAGTGGGGATTCCATCCAGAGAAGCAATATTATACAAAGGCTTGAGATGACTGAACATGTCTTTGGAACATCAAGGGCTGGGGTCAGCAACATGAGATAAGGCTAGGGAGGTAAACAGAAGATAAATCACAAAAGCATTTTTAAGTTTCTGTAAGAGATTTGGACTTCATTCTCTGTATTAGTGGTTTATGAACTATTCTGGAGAGTTTTGGGAGTTTCATGGATATCTCCAAATGCTACCATGGGGATGCCAGGGAGGGGCAGACTTTAGACAAACCACTTCTACTTTAATAGCAATAATAATTGGCCGGGCGCGGTAGCTCAGGCCTGTAATCCCAGCACTTTGGGAGGCCGAGGCGGGTGGATCACGAGGTTAGGAGGTCGAGACCATCCTGGCTAACACGGTGAAACCCCGTCTCTACTAAAAATCCAAAAAAAAAAAAAAAAAAAAAAAATTAGCCGGGCGTGTTAGCCGGCGCCTGTAGTCCCAGCTACTCCGGAGGCTGAGGCAGGAGAATGGCGTGAACCCGGGAGGCGGAGCTTGCAGTGAGCCAAGATAGCGCCACTGCAGTCCAGCCTGGGCGAAAAAGCGAGACTCCGTCTCAAAAAAAAAAAAAAAAAATAGCAGTAATAATTAAAAACAACTTTTTAAATCATTTTTTGTAGTGGGCTTGCAAGTGAGAATTCATTTGTTGAGAGAGGTCTATGGCTAAAAAAAACATGTGGAAGCTACTGTCATGAGGAACCATGAGAAAGTTTTAAGCAAGGCAGTGTCTATTTAATTTCCATTTTATAAAAGTTATTCTGGCTGTTATGTAAATAATAGATTGGCGTAGGGCCACAAGTAAAGATAGGAAGGACAGTTAGGAGGCTGATAATCAAATTAGGAAGAGGATAGAGTCAGTTATGAGGTATAATTGATGCAAGTTGATAGCATATCCGCATTTATAAATTTTTTTTTCTGGGGACAATTTTGTCCTTTCTACTCACTACCTGCTTACAGTAAAACATACATAAAATGCAGAAAAATAAAAAAGAAGATATTAAAACGCAATCACTCACAATCTTCTATTTTAGCCTCTTCCAGTCCCTTTTCTTTCTTCCCATTCCCATTCCCTTCCTTACACACACACACACACACACACATGCACACAATCAGTCCTGTATTTGGAATGTGTTTAGCTCCAGTATTTCCTTTGTGTAGAGTGGAAGACGCTTTTAACCAGTGTTTGATAGATATAACTATATACAGATAAATAAATGTAGTAAGTCTAATAGGAACATCACCTTGCTACAAATTGACTAAACATGAATGCTCATTTTTATTAACAATCACTCTTGTGGTTTATTACCTCCAGTGAGCTGACTATAAAATTAATCTCTTGGAATCACTGAAATGTGACTAATAGCTACAATAAGACTTCCTGAACACACATACATAAAAATTCATGCATCAAAAATTTAGGGTTTATGATAAGTTCTGAAATTTCAGAAGATGGTCCAAAACATGAAAATTTTATGACCACCTTTTAAATTCTGAGATTATATAGGAAATATAATATTTAACATTAAGAGGAATAATGTATAACTATGTTAAGAAAAGGTCTAAATACATGATAAATGGGATAACATCAAAACAAGAAAATGAAAATACATCATATTCTTTTGTTCAGTGCTTCAATTTAACAGTATTAGAAAATCATCCCTAATAGAAAGTATTAGAAAATAATTATCATATAAAATGAGGGCTATAAGGAACCTTAGACATCATCTAATATAAATCTTCATTTTTTAGATAATAAAATTGGGATCCAGAGAAATGAAGTGCTCAAAACTGCTATTAGCAGAGCTGGGACGAAAACTTAGTTCAATTATTTTACTGCTTTTTTACACTTCTACAAACACACATATCCACACACACACACCCCACACACTTTTCTAATACAGTTCTCTGTATTTATCTCAGTTTTGACAACTGCCCACTCCTTATGCTTACCAATATAGGAATTTTTTTTTTCCTGCTTTTTCCCGTTTGGGCCAATAGTTATGCCTACTCCATTGTACCACACTTTATTCATCCCAGGTAGTTGGAAGGAAAGTGATTTCATTCACTAGGTTCTCATAGCTATTGCTCTTTAAAACAAATAATATCTGATAACAAAGGGCAGAGCACCTCTTTGAAATAGAACACAATTTCAACTAACGTGAATGCCTGATGTAAGCATTTCTGTGTAACTAAATGATCTGGTTAGATGGAGCTTTATAATTAAAAAAATCTTTTGAAGATTTTAACAAATTTCTGGAGCCCCATTTCTGGGTATCATGTAGTTTAACGATCATAACTGAATGTCTTTATTAAAACATTTTTTTGACTGAGGATATTGCAAGACTTGAGTTTCAGCTGCCTGAAAAATATTTGTCAAGGACTAGAGATATGAATAACACACAAGAGTTTAAGTTTTATGTGTACCATACACCAGAAAATGAATCTGGAAATTTTATTAAAAGTTTGTCAATATCGATGTGTTTTTCTGTGACTTATTTGTTTTGTTTAAACACAATAAAACAATACAACAACAAAATCTGTGCATTAAAGCTGTGTTCTAACTTGTTGAGGGTTTATAGTACCCAAAATAGATTTTACTAATCACCACTTTAATGACTATAAGGTTTCAGGAAAGACCTTTTAGTGTATTATTTTGCCACAAATATTTCAATTTTTTTGTCTCTTTCAAAATGTATTTCTTATGTCTAAATCTCTCCAAGTCAAATCTCTCTATAATTTTATTTCTGTCTCTATTATAACATACGTCACATTAGCCCTCCTCTACATCTAATTATATGGTTGTGTCTGTTTCTCACTGGATTTTTGTTCCTAAGTATATTAGTTTAGCATATTAATTTTTACAAACTGTTTTACGCACATCATTATTTTTTAATTTTGTGCTTTAGTAAGTTGCCCAAGTTGCTAGACAGTGGCATAAATGGACTTGAACCTAGGTTTTCTAATTTCCACTACATGACTCTTTACCACTAACCATACTGCCTCTCATCATATTGTTAATGGCAGATGCTGTATTTTAAAATTGATTTTATATATTTCTCACAGCTCTAATAGAAAAATTTGTAAAAATAAATCATTGCACAAATGAATATTCATTAAATTATAATTTGAGTGCTAGAACAATCATTCAAGAATAAAGCAGACTGATAATCAAATGATTAGAAGCAATTATGCACCCTAAGATGTTAACACCCTGTCTGTGCCTCTTAACAGAAAGTTTGCCATTTTTTTGATGTCAAATATTGTTACTTCAAAGAAAAATTATTTGACATTTGGGACAATTTCTGTGGAGCTATTTTGTCTATAGAAAATGAAGTGAGTTTTAAGCAGAGTAATAGTGAAAAAAAAGAGAATTTTTAGCCAAATGGTTTCAAAACCTTTTAGACTTCTCTCTTTTACATAGAACTACTACAGTTGGAACATAAGTCAAAGCCCAGCACTACTCACACAAATGCTTTAAGTACAGGAATTGTATCTTCTCCAGCATTGAACTGAACTGCCATTGTTAATCACACATATTTTTCTTGATTCTAAAAGCCAGGAATTTTAGTGCAGAGATTCCCAAGTAGTATGCCAAAAATGGGTTACAAAAGTACCAAGACACGGATCCCCTCAGCACTCAACATGGTGCTGCAGAGCCACGACAGCCTAGCACTATATTCTCTGACAATGAACAGTGATATGGTTTGGCTGTGTCTTCACCCAAATTGCATCCTGAATTGTAGTTCCCATAACCCTCACATGTCATGGGAGGGACCCAGTGGGAGATAATTGAATCATGGGGGTGGTTATCTCCAGGCTATTCTCATGATAGTGAGTGAGTTCTCATGAGATCTGATGGTTTTATAAGGGGCTTTTCCCTTTTTTGCTCAGCACTTCTCCTTGCTGCCACCATGTGAAGAAGGACATGTTTGCTTCCCCTTCTGCTATGATTGAAAGTTTTCTGAGGCCTCCTCAGCCATGCTGAACTGTGAGTTAATTAAACCTCTTTCTTTTATAAATTACCCAGTCTTGGGTGTGTCTTTATAACAGTGTGAGAATGGACTAATACAGTAAATTTGTACCTCAGAGTGTGGGGTGCTGCTATAAGGATACCTGAAAATGTGTAAGCAACTTTGGAACTGGAAAACAGGCAAAGGATGGAAAGGTTTGGAGGGCTCAAAAGAAGACAAGAAAATGTGGGAAAGTTTGGAACTTCCTAGAGACTTGCTAAATGGTTTTGACCAAAATGCTGATAGTGATATGGGCAGTGAAGTCCAGGCTGAGTTGGTCTCAGATGGAGATGAGGAACTCGTTCGGAACTGGAATTCTAACTTAATAATCATCTGAAATATAAGATATAAAGGTGACTCTTGCTAAGCTTTAGCAAAGAGACTGGCAGCATTTTGCCACTGCCCTATGGATCTGTGGAACTTTAAACTTGAGAGGGATGATTTAGAGTATCTGGTGGAAGAAATTTCTAAGCAGCAAAGCATTCAAGAGGAGGCAGCACATAAAAATTTGGAAAATTTGCAGCCTGACAATGCACTAAAAAAGAAAAACTCATTTTCTAAGGAGAAATTCAAGCCTGCTGCAGAAATTTGCATAAGTAACAAAGAGCCAAATATTAATCACCAAGGCAATAGGGAAAATGTCTCCAGGGCATGTTAGAGAACTTTGTGGCAGCACCTGTCATCACAGGCCCAGAGGCCTAGGAGAAAAAAGAAAGATTTAGTGGGTCAGGCTCAAGTTCCCCTGCTGTATGCATCCTAGGGACTTTAAGCCCTGCATCCCAGCTGCTACAGCTCTGGCTAAAAGTGGTCAAGGTACATCTCGGGCTGTGGCTTCAGAGGGTATGAGTCCCAAGCCTTGGCAGCTTCCATGTGGTGTTAAGCCTGTGGGTGCACAGGAGTCGGCAATGAGGTTTCTGAACCTCTGCCTAGATTTCAGAGGATATATGGAAACGCCTGGATGTCCAGGCAGAAGTTTGCTGCCAGAGGAGAGCCCTCATGGAGAACCTCTTCTAGGGCAATGTGGAAAGGAAATGTGGGGGTGGAGCCCTCACACACTGTCCCCACTGGGGCACTGCCTAGTGGAGCTGTGCAAAGAGGATTACCATCCTCCAGACCCCAGAATGGTAGATCCAATGACAGCTTGCACCATGAGCCTGGAAAAGCTGCAGACACTCAACACTAGCTCATGAAAACAGGAGGGAGGAGGGCTGTACCCTGCCAAGCCACAGGGGCAGAGCTGCTCAAGGTCATGGAAGCCCACCTCTTACATCACGTGACCTGGATGTGAGACATAGTATCAAAGAATATTATTTTTGAGCTTTAAGATATAATTACTGCCCTATTGGATTTTGGAATTGCATAGGGCCTGTAGCCCCTTCGTTTGGGCTAATTTCTTCCATTTGGAATGGGTATATTTAACCTATGCCTGTACCCCCATTGTATCTAGGAGGTAGCTAACTTGCTTTTGATTTTACAGGCTTATAGGCAGAAGGGACTTGCCTTGTCTCAGATGAGACTTTGGACTTGGACGTTTTAGTTAATGCTGGAATAAGTTTAGACTTTGTTGGGAAGGCATGATTGTATTTTGAAATGTGAGGACAGAAGATTTGGGAGAGGCCAGGGGTGGAATGATATGATTTGGCTGTGTCCCCACCTAAATCTCATTTGAATTGTAGTTCCCATAATTTCCTTGTGTCATGGTAGGGACCTGGTGGGAGATAATTGAATCATTGGGGGTGGTTACCTCCATGCTGTTCTCATGATAGTGAGTTAGATCTCATGAGATCTGATGGTTTTATAAGGGGCTTCTCCCTTTTTTGCTCAGCACTTCTCCTTGCTACTGCCATGTGAAGAAGGATGTGTTTGCTTCCCCTTCCACCATGATTGTAAGTTTCCTGAGGCCTCCTCAGCCATGCTGAACTGTGAGTCAGTTAAACCTCTTTCCTTTATAAATTACCCAGTCTCAGGTATGTCTTTATTAGCAGCGTGAGAATGAACTAATACAAATAGCCTGATCTGTTTCCCCCAATGTGATGGTCAAATACTATTATTTTCTATGTATTGCACAGACATAAAAAGTTGAGAATCAGTGCACTAGAAGGTAACACTTGGTTAATTCAGCTTTCTAAATATAATGCAAAATATTTGAAATTTCAGACTTATAATATTTTTTCTTCTGGTTTGAATTACTGAGGTTTGACAAAGAAACATGAAAATGTGGAATGTAATAACTTTATCTATTTTAAAAAGTGCATTTAATCTATGCAAAATGGTTGTTAACTTATGGCAAGATAGTTTTTATTACATTTATATGTTTAGATAAATCTCATACCATCAAGATCTGGCCAATATCACTATATGCTTGTTTTCTTTATTATTGATTTTTTAATTTTAAACAATTTTCTCAGTAATTTTTCACACCTCAGAATCACATTACTATTAATCATATTAATATTCACTTCTGCTGAAGTATGTTTATTCATGGTTATTATGCCTGAATACCTCACTAGAAATCAATTTTGTAGAGGCCACAAATCAAGACATTTTATTCCGTCAGGATTATGGCTCTGTGGAAACTACCAGGGACACAGGATCTTTAATCCACGCTCAAGAGAATCAGTCCAACATCCATCTAGATAATCCATTGAGTATGTTTGCCTCACAGTTACTTGATTTTCAACCACTGTTCACTTCAGCCACCTACTTTCATGCACTCACTATGGACTCCACAGTAATTTTGAACTGCTCCATCTCTGAAATAATAATAATTAAAAAAACCTCTAGTATCTCATTCTCTGAACCACAACTTCCTGTAGTTCCAGAACACTTTCATTTATTCAAAAATATTTATTGGGTACTTTCTAAGTAAAAGCTGTTTTTCTAGACCCTGGAGGCACAGTGAATAATAGTTACAACTTTCATACATGCTATTTAAAACGTACAGGATGTAATCAAATCAGGCTGGTTACAGAATATAACTACATTCTGATGAGAACACATTCTGAATAACTGCCAAATCTGTTCCTTCCTTTTTTGTCTAAAAGCCATTTCCTTAGATAAGTCTGTCATTCATTCTTGCCTAGTTGCAGCTTTAATAACCAACCTGGCTTCCTGCCCTGAGTTATCTCATTCCTTCTTCTTTCATGTTAATTCTAAAGTGATCTATTTCAAACACAAATTTGATTCAGCCACGTTTTTGCTTAACATCCTTAAAATTACTGTTCATACTTTCCAGAATACAGTTCAACTTTCTTAATTTAGCATATAAAATATTCCATATTTTGACTAATATCTATTTCTGTGCTCTCATCTCCTGACATACTCCACATACACCCTCTCTTAAATCAAACCCATAGCTTCTAGACTGCATCTTGATTCCTGATGTCATTGTGCTTTTATGTGTGACCTTTTAACTTCTCACAGTGCCTTTCATTCCTCATTTATATATCTTGTGTCTGTTTTTTAAAATCTATAATAAGCATCAACATTTCTAAAAAGTCATCCTGATTGCTTCTTCCAGTCTGATTTATATGCCCATTATCTGCATTCTTACAGCACTTAGAAAATATCTTTGTTATAGCACTTGCTGTATAGGGTTTCTTTTGGTGTGTGTATTGTAGCACTTTCTCTATATTATACTTTTTGATTTCATGTTCATTTATCTCTCCAAGTTGTGACTTCCATGAGGGCTGGAAGTTTGTTTCACTTGACATTGTATTTTCAGTACCTGGTACAAAGTAGGTGCTTAAAAAATGTTCATGGGTATATAGAGAGGAGGAGATGAAGAGAATAAATAAAGGGAGAGGGAGAGAAAGCAAGTAAGCTGAAGAGTAGAAAAATGTAGATGAAGGTAGGGAGGAAAGAAGGCAGGAAGAAAAGCAGGCAAGAAGAAGGAAGGAGGAGAGGAAAAAAGAAAGGAAGGAAGGGAGGGAGAAAAGAACAAATAAATTCCTGTTGAAGCATAGTTTCTGCTGGAATCTTCAAAAAATAAAGAGACAAAATAAAAAATTTATTACATGATCATTTATCACCTAGGTACATAAAACTATAAGAAACTCTTATAGTAAAATATGATTATTGCTTATATCTGTTTACTTGTTCCTTGTAGTGGCTTGTTTTATTTTATTATTTTACATGTGTGCTAAAGTTTCTCCAGTTAAGTCTTCATTTGCTTGTGAGTGAATTTGTAGAACATAATCACACTCCTCAATTAGAACAGACTTTATACAAACAGTATTATTTTTTCCTTGTTGTGGGTAAATTGTAATTTAATGCAAAAGGCTCTGCTGTTTTACATTTTCCAGAGCTTTCATTCATTCTTGCTTAGTAATTACAAATGGCTTGTAAATAAACACTTGCAATGATTTTCAAAATGTTCTGTATTTACTTATGAGTCTAGTATTTCTATCACTGTATCACTTAAGAGGTTTTGATATATTGTATACAGGTTCATTTTACAATGTATTTGAAGTTTGTAATTCTGCTTAAATATGAAAAAGTAGAAAGAATTAACAAACTGCTGCTTGCAGGCCAAGAGAAGACAGAGCTAAGGGAAATCAAGACAGAATCTATCAGAAACATGAAATCAATTGACAAAAGGTGGAAGACTGTCAACCAAAATAATATGTTATGGACCCTCAAGGCTTTCTGTTTATGCTAGAGGAAGCCTAAAATAATCTGTGGTTTTTGATGCTTGATTTAGTTTTCTACAAGCCTAATTAACAACAGATTAAGCTTGCTGCCACTATAGTTTATTACTGAGAGTGATACATACTTGCTGTTTATTTTTCTCTGGTACAGAAAGACTGGTGGCAGTAATCTTAAGAAAGTCAATTTCTAATGAACAAAATATTTCTTGGAAACAACTCAGTTATATCATGTTCTATCGGGGCATAACTGTTTTGGTTGGTTATAAAATGCAACTAAAAACATCCCCTGTTACAGGATGAAACTCCTTTGCTTTACTACAATTGAATGTGATGTAAACTTTTTTGAATTCATAGCCAAGGGTCAGTAATCTCTTCTTTATGGAGAATGCATGGGGAAGTTTAATTCAGGTGTCTGTGTTCAGAACAATTCTGTATGTGCATTGTGATACTCCCTCCTTACCAACTTCCACTTATTTTAGGTTTCACTTTTCCAAAACTAGAAAGGACTCTTTAATTCCATCTCCAAAGTTTTTGATATAGATTACAATTCAAGGTCACGTTGGAATCATAGTACTGTTTTGCTTTGCTTTGGATCTTTCTATTCTAAGCAAGATTTTACAGGGAAACAATAAAACAGAAGATATTTGTTTACACATGCAAACAGACTGGCAGCCAGATTTTTGTCTTATTTCCTGAATGCTCTCTTTTGACTTCAAAGAGAGCTTGATTTACATAAAATTATGCAGGGGGTAAAGCTGGATAAGAAATCAGTATAAAAGAACAGAATACGTTATTCATAGAATAAGATATGACATATGCCAGGAGTCCACTCTTAGCTGCCAACCTTAATAAAGAGATAAAAGCTTGAATAGTAAAAATTTAAAACGAATTATTGTATGCTATGATTTGTAATTTACAAAAAGGAATGGACAATTATGTCTTTATTTCTGGCTTATCTTGGCCCAACCTTTCCAGGGGCCATGGCTTAAGAACTCTTCAAATAATTACAGGAAAAGAGAGAGGGTAATTTTCCTTTACTACCATTTATTTGGCTATTCAACTCTTTGCCTTTGATAATATGATACATTGAGAGGATAAATTTTTTCTATTCCTTCCCATATTAGTTTTTAGAAATGTCAGAACATGCATATTTCATTCCCTCAGACATCTATGCTTCAAATATCTCAAGACACAGCATGGTCGATCAAGAAAATCATGACCAGAAGAGATCTGCAAGGTTTTTTAACTCCTTCTCCTGTCTTTATAATATGTTGCCTAATGCATATATAGCTATCTAATCAGTTCTTAAGCAATTTCTATGTAGAAGGGAATAGGAGCTTCAGTGTCCCGCTCAGCATTTCAAAGTGTCTCTCTGTGCTCCAAAATTCCATTCAAGTTAAACTGCAGTCATCCATGGATGCTATTGTTTAGGTTTATTCTAAAAACATATGTTGGAGTAGCAATAAAGAAACATAAATGAGTAGTTATTTAAGAGCTGTGGAGTTGACTCTAACTGAAATTATTGCAATATATTACTAAAACTACTCCAAAAGAATAAGTACACTATATAGTGTGCAACACCACTCTTTGGCTTATATAACACTTCCTTTACTACTTTACTCATAGATAATAGTTTTCTTTCCTTAAAATTTTTTGAGGTATAACATATAAAAATAAATGCAGATAGATCTCAGATTTATAGCTCAATGAACATTTATATATGTAACCACCCAGGTGAAAGCAGAAAAGATTTGAAGCTCCTCAAAGGCTCCCTTATGCCTTCTTCTAGTCAGTACTCACAGAAAAATTATTCTGACATCCATGACCATAGATCCATTATTCTCACAACGATTTTCATATATATGGAATCATATAGTATATAGTCCTTTGTGTCTCACTTCTTTTACTTAATATGATGTTTATAAAATTTATCCATGTTGTTGTAGTTCATTATTTTCTATGACTTTCTTGACTGTGGTCTAAATTTGTTGCTAAATAGTTTACAAATTACATCATTTCAATACATTATGCATCTAATTAAAAAATGAAAAATTTGACATCATAATTTTAATCATGCTTCCTATGCCCGTTATATAAATACTGGTGTTCTTATACAATTGACACAGTCTCAAAAAGGGATGTCTATATTATGAGTATACTAGAATAATTAACTGTTTTCTAAGCAAAAAGAACATCCCATTTTGAGGTTGCCTCAATTGTGTAATAACAGTATTATTGATATGGCAGGATAAACAAGGTGTTGCTGAAATTCTGATGTGATATTTTCCATTTTTCAATTAGATTTCTGATGTATTAAAATAACTTCATGATTTATGAACTCAACCTTGGCATTTTCTAAAAATCCCATTATCAGTAATTAAGAATATTATATTCTGTCTGCATTACAAGAAAGTATATTCTCAGTGAAAAGTTCTGGGAGCTTCTAAATTCTGACAGCAAAGAATTTAACTCACAATGCTAAATAGTGAGTGATATTTTCTGGGTCTCTGTATTAGAATCACCCACAGACAATGACTAGCATATTTAGGAAAAACAAAGAAAGCAATGTCTTCAAATAAAGAGCAGTTTTCCAGTTTGGGGAGAAGAGGAAAGAGATTGCAGATAAGTAAAGTTGTGCCTATTGCAAAAGATTGGGTTACAGTTAGAATTTGAGGTTTGTATTAGATACGTGCAAATAATTTGGTATCAGGTTTAGTTCACAATCAAGAAGGTCCTTATTAATTTGTAGAATATATGAACATCTTAAAGGCTGATGCTATATTTCATTAATCTTCTATAAGTCTAGTAAAGTTTCTGGTACATAGGCACAAAATAACCCTCAATAATTGCTGGTTCAGTTGAATTACCTTTGAATCCTGCCTGCAATTCCTGTAAAAGGGCAAATGATATGTTTAATACTCTCTCAGGGGAAGACCTAAGGGCCACCATCTATGTAGACAGATCAACAAAAATAATCTGGAATTACACTAACATTATTGAATAAAATGTATCTATGTCACCTTGTTACAGAATCAATGTTTAATATATGTGTATCCCCTTATGTTCCCAACTCAGCTTCATTCCAGGAATTTTGATTTCTGATTTGCATGGAGCTCATTATAAATTATTGTCATTAACCTTTTTTACCAACTCCTGGTGTTAGTTCAGAAAACTGACTTCTCAATTGTGGTTAAAACTGGGACCAAAGGCTTTCTAAATTGCTACAACATTTCAACATACCAGAAATCTATGTAAAAAAAATGAGAAATATGACATCAGAATTTCAATTGTCCCCGCTTAGCCCATCATATCAACACTAGGGTTATTGTACCAGTTGAGACAACCTCAAAATTGATGTTGCTTTTCTAGTTAGAAAGCTGCAATTGTGTATGACAGTTATAAAACACAGTAATAAATTATATGGCATTATTCATGGAGTAAGCAAAGTTCTGTGGGAAAACACAGAGAGAGTCATTTTTTCCAGCCCACTGGGTTGTGTTGTGGACAAAGATTGCTGTTTATTTTCTTTATTCACATTGTACTCAGAAACTCAACAGTTTCATTTTTTTATATTTCTCTTTCAGCGTTTTAAAAGTTCTTTTGCAAGTACTATATTTTCCAGATATAGTTTGCCCTGTAATCTCTGAGTAAGCTATAATAATACTGGTCTTTAACATTGTGGGGATAGTAACATTACTTGATAGAAGATGTGAATTCCAACAATTCTTGGCCTATATTTGGATAGATTTTAAGGAACACGATCTCTGAAAGTGACTCTTCCCCTTGAAGAATATAGCCCTCAAGCCATTGAAATAACTACTATAACTTTTTATAGTGTAGGTATGGCTAATGTATCTAAAAATCTGTATATGCTTTGTCTTACCTTACCCGTGTTCTACTCTTCTGGTTAGCAAGAACCCTATGCATGGTAAGAATGACATTTGCATATACAGCTATCAAGAGGTGCTATGAAACAGTTTCTTGATGATATTTGAATATAAAGCACTTCTGTTACATATCATCTAATATTATCCCAATTGCAATATTATGACACGTGAGGTTCTCTAAAATATCATCAGTAAAGCAATCAAGTCTTCATTGTTTTAATTTTATTTTTCTGAGAAACTTGAATCTTCAAACTGTTACTATACTCTTAATAAATAATACATTTTTTCAAATGTTCTAGTCTTAGAATGTTTGTTCACATTCCCAGGAATGTTAGAGGCACACCTCATGTCAGTCAAGGATTTACTATTTTCTTGACTCTAAGATAGGATGAAACATCATCATCATATGAATTGTAAGAAGAAAGATGACTGACATGAAACTACGTAAAATGCTCTGATTGACTTTTAAAACTGAATATGTAGCAGTTAGAAAGCTTCAGATTTCCAGCAAACCAACTCAAACTTGCTTATAAAATGACAATTTATTGACTCACATATTTGAAAGGGAAGACTGATGGTAAGGCTCAGTGATATCTTTAAGTAATAATACCCAATCTCTGCTCTGTATTTCAAAGTATTGGACGAAGTCTACATGCTTCCTCATTCAAGTCTAGTAGGAGGCAGAAATCATCCCTTCCTTAAACTCATGAAGAGTCCTGAACTACATGACGATTGGATCCCTAGTAGTGAATCCCTTTTTTGAATAAGCTAGGATTAATCTAACTGGCCTAGACTCATCACGGTCCACCCTTGGAGCTGAGGATGGAACAATTGCATTCAAATCTCATGGCAGCTAACCCATGGGGGAAGAATAAGATGATATTAGAAAAATGATAAAATTCCCACTACAGAAAATATGTTTCAAATGCCTCTCATTCTACAGCTTCTTTTGGAAATGGTTTCCATTGTTGTTAGCAGGTGTTTTTCTTTGATAGCAGTAAAGAGGTAAAGGATAAGCAGGCTTTCAGGGAAAGTCCTTTCCTGGGGCAAAAACTGTTGGATGCACTCTACTTAAATTTTGTCACTGCAAAAGGGAAAAAGATGTTGACCATAAATTTAAAAAAAAAATAAAGCATTCATAATAGAATGGTAGTCTGCTGACATAACAGTAAACTATGTTTAACTCTCTAGCACATTTCCAGGATTATTACAACTAAGTGGCAACAGCAAAATCACTCAGGAAGTGAAGATCATGGCAAAGCAAAGAAAAAGATAAGGATGGGGTTGGGGAGAAGAATGAATGCAGAACTCTCAGAAATTTTTAAACTGATTAAGCCTAAAACCAGCCCTACTACTCAACTATTACTATTCCCCAATTAAAACAAGTATCAGCAAACAAAATCTTCCAGTTTCTTTTAGTACAAGCAGAAAAATCCTAGAAGTAGAGGGGTCAGGTGAGCATAATCTACCAAATCATTATCTTCAAATCAAAGCAAGAAATAGGCTGAGAGAAAATCAGTAGGTAAAGCCTCCCTTGTTATATAAAAAAGATGATGACTGAATATAGTTAACCAATAACTGATATGTGATTAGATGTTTACTCATATGTCACAACAATTCACACTCAATTTGCTTAACATTGTTATTCATACATTGATGTGGACAGAAAAATGTGCCCAAATTAATAGTTAATAAACTTCTTTCATGAAATAGCCTCAATAGCAAAACCAACTTTTTTTGTTTGTTTTTTTACTTTTAAGTTCAGGGGTGCATTGCAGGATGTGCAGGTTTGTTACGTAGGTAAACATGTGTCACGGGGATTAATTGGAGCCATTAGTTATATTACTTGCTTCTCTCCCTCTTCCCATCTTCCAAGCTCCTGATAAGCTCCAGTTCATGTTGCTCCCTTCTAATGTGTCCATGTGTTCTCATCATTTAGTTCCCACTTATAAGTGAGAACCTGCTGTATTTGGTTTTCTGTTCCTGCATTAATTTGCTAAGGATAATGGCCTCCAGCTCCGTCCATGTTCCTGCAAAGGGCATGATTGTGTTCACTTTTTATGGCTGCATAGTATTCCATGGCGTATATATACCACATTTTCTTTATCCAGTCTATCACTGATGGGAATTTGGGTCAATTCCATGTCTTTGCTATTGTGAATAGTGGTACAAAGAAGGTAAGCATGCATGTATCTTTAGGATAGAATGCTTTATGTTCCACTGGGTATATACCCAGTAATAGGATTGCTGGGTCCTATGGTAGTTCTGCTTCCAGCTCTTTGAGGAATCACCATACTGTTTTCCGCAAAGGTGGAACTAATTTATGCTGTCACCAACAGTATAAAAGTGTTCCTTTTTCTCCACATCCTAGCCAGCATCTGTTATTTTTTGACTTTTTAATAATCACTATTCTGACTGGTGTGAGATGGTATCTCATTGTAGTTTTGATTTGCATTTCTCTAATGATCAGTGACTTGGAGAATTTTTTTATATGATTGTTAGCTGCATGTATGTCTTCTTTTGAGGAGTGTCTGTTCATATCCTTTGCTCACTTTTTAATGTTTTTTTTTGCTTGTAAATTTGTTTCAATTCCTTATATATGCTGGATATTAGACCTTTGGCAGATGCATGACTTGCAAATATTTTTTACCATTCTGTAGGTTGTCTATTTATTCTGTTGATAGTTTCTTTTGCTATGCAGAAGCTCTTTAGTTTAATTAGATTCTATTTGTCAATTTTTGCTTTTGTTGCAATTTCTTTTGGCATCTGGGACATGAGATCTTTTCCTGGACCTATGTCCTGAATGGTATTGCCTAGTTTGTCTTCCAGGGTTTTTATAGTTTTCTGTTTTACATTTAAGTCTTTAATCCATCTCAAGTTAATTTTTGTATATGGTGTAAAGAACAGGTCTAGTTTCAGTTTTCTGCAACTAGCTAGTCAGTTATCCCAGCACCTTTTATTGACTAGGAGTCCTTTCATCATTGCTTGTTTTTTTTTTCAGGTTTGTCAAAGTCAAAAATAGGTAGGGGTGGAAACTCTTATTTCTGAGTTTTCTATTCTGTTCCATTGGTCTATGTGTCTGTTCTCGTACTGGTACCATGCTCTTTTGTTTACTGTAGCCCTGTAGTATAATTTGATGTTGAGTAGCATGATGCATTCAGCTTTGTTCTTTTTGCTTAGGATTGTCTTGGCTATTTGGGTGCTTTTTTGGGTTTCATATTAATTTTAAAATAAATTTTTTAGTTCTGCAAAGAATGTCAGTGATAGTTTAATGGGAAAACTTACTTGGGCAGTAAGGACATTTTAACAATTTTGAATATTTTTATCTATGAGCATAGAATGTTTTTCTATTTGTTTGTGTCATCTCTGATTTCTTTGAGAAGGGGTTTGTAGTTCTCCTTGTAAAGAAAGATCTTTTACTTCTCTTGTAATCTGTATTCTTATTTTATTATTTTTTGTGGCAATTGTGAATGGGAGTCCATTGGTGATATGGTTCTTAGCTTGATTGTTGTTGGTGTATAAAAATGCTAGTAATTTTTTGACATTGATTTTTTTATCCTGAGACTTGCTGAAGTTGCTTCTAAGCTTAAGAAGCTTTTGAGCTGAGACAATGGGGTTTTCTAGATATAGGATTGTCTCATCTGCAAACAGGAATAGTTTGACTTCCTCTCTTCCTATTCGAATGCTATTTATTTCTTTCACTTGCTTCATTGCTCTGGCCAGAACTTTCAATAGTGTGTTGAATAGAAATAGTGAGAGAGGGCATCCTTGTCTGTACCAGTTTTTAAGGGGAATGATTTCAGCTTTTGCCCATTCCATATGATGTTGGCTGTGGGTTTGTCATACATGGGTGTTATTATTTTGAGATATATTCCTTTAATACCTACTTTACTGAGAATTTTTAACATGAAGGAATGTTTACTTTTATCAAAAGTTTTTTTCTGCATCTATTGAGATAATTGTGTGGTTTTACCTTTAGATATATTTATGTGATTAATTATATTTATTGATTTGCTTATGTTGAACCAACCTTGCATCCCAGAGATGAGGCCAACTTGATCATGATGGATAAGCTTTTTGATGTGCTGCTGAATTCGGTTTGCTGGTATTTTGTTGATTTTTGCATCAATGTTCATCAAGGATATTGGCTTGAAGTTTTCTTTTTTTCTTGTGTCTCTGCCAGGTTTTGGTACCAGGATAATGCTGGCCTCATAGAATGAATTAGAAAGAAGTCCCTCCTTTTCTATTTTAAAAAATAGTTTCAGTAGGAATGGTGCCAGCCCAGCTGTTAATACATCTGGTCCTGAGCTTTTCTTGGTTGGTAGGCTATTTATTACTGCCTCAATTTCCAAACTCATTGTTGGTCTGTTCAGGGATTCAATTTCTTCTTGAGGGTTGTATCTGTACAGGAATTTATCAATTTCTTCTAGATTTTCTACCTTATTTGCATAGTGGGTTTTTTTGTTTTTGTTTTCGTTTTTGTTTTTGACAGAGTCTCACTCTGTCGCCCAGGCTGGAGTGCAGTGGTGTGATCTCAGCTCACTGCAAGCTCTGCCTCCCAGATTCACGCCATTCTCCTGCCTCAGCCTCCTGAGTAGCTGGGACTACAGGCACCTGCCACCAAGCCTGGCTAATTTTTTTGTATTTTTAGTTGAGACGGGGTTTCACTATGTTAGCCAAGACAGTCTTGATCTCCTGACCTTGTGATCCGCCCGTCTCGGCCTCCCAAAGTGCTGGGATTACAGGTGTGAACCACCGCGCCCGACCAGTGGTCTTTTTTTTTAAATATGCTCTGATGGTTGGTTGTATTTCTGTCAAGTCAGTAGTAATATTTCTCTTATTTTTTCTGATTGAGTTTATTTGAATCTTCTCCCTTTTCTTCTTTATTAAGGTAGCTAGTGTTCTATTTTTTTTTAAACCACCTTCTAGTTATGTCTGTCTTTTGAATGATTTTTCATGTCTCAATCTCCTTTAGTTCAGCTCTGACTTTGGTTATTTATTTTCTACTGCTTGCTTTGGGATTTGTTTGCTCTTGGTTCTCTAGTTCTTTTAGTTGAGATCTTTGGTTGTAAACTTGAGATCTTTCTAGCTTTTTGATGTGGGCAGGCATTTAGTGCTATAAACTTCTATGTTAACACTGTTTTAGCTGTATCCCAGAGATTCTTGTATGTTCTATATTCTTATTAGGTTCTAAGAACTTCTTGGCTTATGCCTTAAATTCATTATTTATCCAAAAGTCATTCTGGAGCAGGTTATTCAATTTCCATGTAATTGTATGGTTTGGAGTGAATTTCTTAGTCTTGAGTTTTAATTTAATTGTGCTGTGATCCAGGAGACTGCTTGTTGTGATTTCAGTTCTTCTCTATTTGTTGAGGAGTGTTTTACATCTAATTATGTAATCTATTTTACAGTAAGCACTATGTGGCAATGAGAATAATATATATATTCTGTTGGTTTTTGGTGGAGAGTTCTGTGGATATGTGTCAGGTCCTTTTGATCCAGAGCTGAGTTCAGGTCCTGAATATCTTTGTTACTATTCTGTCTTGATGATCTGTCTAATATTGTCAGTGGGGTGTTAAAGTTTCCCACTATTATTATGTGCAAGTCTAAGTCTCTTTGAAGGTCTCTAAAAATTTGCTTTATGAATCTAGGTGCTTGCTCCTGTGTTGGGTGCAGTGTATGTTTAGGATAGTTAGCTCTTCTTATTGAATTGAACCCTTTACCATTGTGTAATGCCCTTGTCTTTTTTGATCTTTGTTAGCTTAAAGTCTGTTTCATCAGAAAGTAGGATTGCAACCCCTGCTATTCTGTGTTTCCCATTTGCTTGGTAAAATTTTCTCTATCCCTTTATTTTGAGCCTAGGTGTGTCTTTGCACATGATATGAGTCTCTTGAAGTCAGCATAGCAATGAGTCTTGGCTCTTTATCTAGCTTACTACTACTCTGTGTCTTTTAATTGGGGTATTTAACTCATTTATATTTAATTATAATTAAATTAAATTATATTAATTTAATTATATTTTTAATTATATTTAAAATATATTTAATTTAATTATAATTAAATTAAATTATATTTAATTATAATTCTTATCTCTGGATTTGATCCTATCATCATGATGCTAGTTGGTTACTTTGCAGACTTGTTTTTGTGGTTGCTTTACAGTGTCACTGGACTGTGTACTTCAGTGTGTTTTTGTAGTGGCTGGTAGTGTGTTTTTTTTTCCATATTTAGTGCTTCCTTCAAGATTTAAAAAATATCTGGTGGTTAATGAATTACCTCAGAATTTGCTTGTCTGGAAAGGCTCTTATTTATCCTTCATTTATGAAGCTTAGTTTGGTTGGATATGGTATTCTGGGTTAGAACTGCTTTTCTTTAAGAATGTTAAATATTGGCCTCAATCTTTTCTGGCTTGTGGGGTTTCCACTGAAAAGTCCACTGTTGGTCTGATGAGCTTCCCTTTGTATGTGACCTAACCTTTCTCTCTGGATGCCCTTACCACTTTTTCTTTCATTTCAACCTTAAATAATTTGATGATAATGCTTCTTGGGGATGATCTTGTGGAGTATCTTAATGGGGTTCACTGCATTTCCTTAATTTGAATGTTGGCCTGTCTAGCAAGGTGGAGGAGGTTCTCAGGCATGATATCCTGAAATATGCATTCAAAATTGGTTAAATTTTCCCCAGATGTTACAGGTACACTAATCAGTCATAGATTTGGTCTCTTTACATAATTCCATGTTTCTCAGAGGTTTTGTTCATTGTCTGCCTGTCTTATTTCAGAAACACAGTCTTCCAGATCTGAGATTATTTCCTCCCCCTGGTCCATCCCACTACCAATACTTGTGGTTGCATTATGAAATTCTTGTATTGTGTTTTTCAGCTCTGTCAGATCAGTTTATGTTCTTCTCTATCCTGGCTATTTTGTCTGTCAGTTCCTGCAATGTTTTATTGTGATTTTTAGTTTCTTTTCATTGAGTAAGTATGTGATCCTTTAGCTCAGTGAAGCTCGTTTTTATCCACATTTTGATTTCAGCCATCCCAGCCTCAGCCCCATTCTGAACCCTTGCTGGAGAGGTGATGTTGTCATTTGAAGGAGAGGGGGCACTCTGACATTTTGAGTTTTCAGTGTTCCTGTGCTGATTTTCTCATCTTTGTGGGCTTATCTACCTTCAATCTTTGACATTGCTGATCTCTCAATGAAGTTTTGGGGTTTTTTTGTGTGTTTTTTTCTTTTAACAGTTTGGCCACTTTTCTCTAGAGCTGCTATGGTTTGCTGGGTGTCCACTCCAGTCATTAGTCACCTTGGATTTTCCAGTACCTGAAGGTATCACCAGTGAAGGCTGCAAAACAACAAAGGTGGCAGCCTGCCCCTTCCTCTGTGAGCTCCATTCCTGGGGGGTACAAACCTGTTGCCACCCAAGTTGCACCTGTAGAAGGAGGATTGAGACTCTAGTTGGGAAGTCTCACCCAGCCAGGAAGAATGGGATCAGGGACCCACTTAAAGAAGCAGTCTAGCCCCTCTTTCACAGAGCAGTGGTGCTGTGCTGGAGTACCGTTTGCACCACTCATCAGGTTGGGCTCTCTAAAGCCTGGAGGCTGGAACATCTAAGTTGCTAAAATAACAAAGATGGCGGCCCACCCCTCTTCCTAGGAACTCTGTCCAGGCAGTTTTCAAACCACTGTTGGCCAGAGAACATCAGTGGGAATGGCTGCAGGCTTTGCTTGGGAAGTCCTGCCCAGTGAGGAGGAATAGATTAGGGATCCACTTAACGAAGCAGTCTGGCCATGCTTTCTAGGGCCCTGGTTGGGAGGTGCCCCCTAGATATGAGGAGTGGATCAGGGTCCTGCTTAAAGAAGCAGTATGGCTGCATTCTGGTAGAGCGGCTGTGCTTTGCTGAGTAATCCCTTCTACCAGGGCCGCTGTCGTCTTTGCTGTTTTGGCAATTTAACTTTTCCAGCCTCCAGGCTTTGGAGGCATGCCTTGGACTCTCCTAAGCCCTCAGGCTGAAAGGGCAGAGTTATTCAAACAGGAAAGATGGCAGCCCAATTCTATCCCCAGGCACTTCATTCCGGGGAGAAATAAAAACTCTGCTGGAGAATATGGGTGGGGAGGGCTGGAGCTCCCAGCTGGGAGGTCTTGCCCAGAGATAAAGAGCACATCAGAGTCCAGCTTAAAGCAGCAGTCTGGCTCTGTTTTGGTAGAACAGCTGTGCTCTGGTGGGGGATCCCTTCCATCCCTGAATATTTTGATTTGGACTCTCCTAAACCCACAAGCTGCAACAGCTGTCATCCAAACCGCAAAGATGGTAGCCAGGCCCTCTCCCAGGGAACTCTGTCCCATCCAAGGTAGGTGCAACACTGTTGCCGGGGGCTGGCTGGAATTCCAAGCCTGTGAGTTTTATCCTGTGAGGTAACATGGAAGTGGGACCCACAGGCTGATGCTGCTTGGCCCCCTGGTTTCAGCTCCCTTCCTACTGGTATATTTGGAGGTCCAACCTCCTGCCTTACTTGAGTTGCAGTCACCTTTGCCGGGGATCCTGGAGGCAGAGTATGTAAAGCTCCTGGGACTCTGTGGGTGCCTGAACAGCTGCTCTGCTGAGACTTCACGCAGCTCTGTGTGTCAGACAGAAGGCCCTGATGGACGAGGTTTGCCAGGGTATCTCATGACCCGAGGATTGCAAAGATCCATGGGAGAAGTGTGGTTTCCCAGGGTCGCAGATTTACTCACCACTTCCTGGGTCAGGGGGAGGTTCCCTTGGCTCCGTGTTGCACTCAGGTGGGCCATCACCCTGATTTACCTTTCTCTGTTCTCCGTGGATTGAGCTGTTTCCCTGATGAGTCCTAATGCAAATACCTGGATGTTTCAGTTGAGGATGCTGTGTTTACTCACCCCTTTTGTTCTTCTCTGTGAGAGCCACACACTGTAGCTGCTTCTAGTTGGCCACCTTGGCCCCCTCCCCAACTTTATTTTTAAGTATAGGCTCACTTTCATTTCACTGCAACATTGTATTTGCAATTTCTCACCCAGTATTTTGTATGGAACATTTTCTATATTTTATAACATAAAAAAATAGCAATTTTAAATACAGAATATGACGTGTTTCTTATAAAAAGGAGAAAGCCAATTTTCCCAACCTGTTTTTTCCTTTCATAAGGCCTACCCTTCCCATTTTAAATTATTTTAATATTTATTCATATATATTTTCTATCAATTTGAAGAAATTCTATCATTAGATTGTGAATTTACAAAAATAGAATCACAAAATATTAAGGCCAGAGGAAACCTGGAAATTATTTTATCCAATATCCTTACTTACCAATGAACAAAATGTGGAATGGGGAGGTAAAACAATGTACCCAAAGTCTACACAGATAATTGGTGATGACAGATAATTAGACTGCCAAAACCTTTGTAGCATTTCTGAAATCAAAAACCCTGCTTGTGAAGAAAAGATAAATCAAATTCAGCTGGAACGATCACAAAATATCTAAAAAGGATATGGAAATATTTGTTAAAGAATACCAAATTATTCTGATATGATCACTATGTATTACATGCATACGTTCTTGGACACACACACACACACACACACACTATACAAATTAGCAAAAGCACTACAACTAGAATTCAGGTCATCTTATTCCAGATGCAGTATTGTTTCTACTCCAACACGTTATCACACACTTGATAACTACTTAGATGAATTTTAAATCTAGAAATCTGGTAAAGGTTGTTCCTATATTTATGGAGATAAGAAAGACTTATTAAGTGACTAAAGGAATAAACAGTACACCTTAAAATTGGAATTATAAATTTTAAAATTTCTCATTTTCTCAAAAGTAGCTTTGGCTACTTCTTTTTTCTGGCTACACTTTTAATACAAAATAGCACTTCATATTTAGTCTATTGGTCTAACCGCCACAACAGTTTCTCACTGAAATAGAAGTACCTTGTAAACAATGTGTAGTGTTTTCACATTAATTATCTCATTAAATTATTATACCAATCTCAAGAATTACGGGAAATATTATATTTCAAAGGTGGGAAACTAAGACCTATATAAAATCATTTATTCATCTGGAGACAAAGGCAAGACAGCAGTTTCCTGGCTCCTGAAACCAGTGCTGTTTCTGTTGCATTTAAATCTAAAAATCGGCTGGGCGGGGTGGCCCATGTCTTTAATACCAGCCCTTTGTGAGGCCAAGGCGAGTGGATCACTTGAGACCAGCCTGGGCAACAGGGAGAACCCTTGTCGCTACAGAAAACACAAAAATTAGCCAGGTGTGGTGGCACATACCTGTAGTCCCAGCTACTTGTGAGGTCGAGGATGCAGTCAGCTGTGATTGCACCACTGCACTTCAGCGTGGGTGGCAGAGCAAGAATCTAAAAACTTCATGAAATGCCTATTATGCATTTTCTACTATGCTACAAAATGATTAAAGCAAACCTTATTTACATAACAGGTTCTCCAGTTATACTTTATTATTTTATCAGAAAAGCTGTACACCAAAATAAAATTTATACATTTAGAGGTTCATTATAGTCTCATGACAATTGTGAATGTCAGGTGTTATTTGTATTTGCTGTAACAAATACTTAAAAAATTTAGATCTGGCTTTGGAATTAGGTAATGAGTGGATGCTGGGAAAATTTTGAGGAGTATATTAGCAAAAGCCTAATTTTTTTTAATGCAGTGTGAGTATACGTATAAATGTTAAAGACTGCTGTCAAGGTTTCAGACGGAAAGGAAGAACATAGTAGAAAAGAAGAGAATGCATACATAGTCATAAACAGACTGTTGGTAGTAGTACAGTTGTTAAAGATGCTGATGATGCGTGCTCAAAAGAAAATGAGGAAGACAGTAAAAAGGTTGCTGTGCTTCTGGCTTTTGAAGATGAAGGGGCCATATGCCAAGTAAAGTACGTGACCTCTAGAAGCTGGAAAAAGAAAAAAAGATTCTAGACAAAAGCTTTCAAAAGTAATGCAGCAGCGTGGACACATTTTAGAAATATAGTCTCCAAAATTGTGATATAATAAATTTGTGCATTTTCTTAAGCCATAAAATTTGGGGCAATTTGTTACAGGAGCAGTGGGAAACGAATACAGATTTGAGAAATACCTTCTGTCTATTTAATCTGATTTTTCAAAAAGATTTAACCTTTCATTTGGGACCTGAATTGTATCTAGAGCAAATAAATCAGGTCACTTAAACTCAGCCCTCTTTTATTAAATAGTCTTTATAAATACTCTGGAGGGAGGTCTTTCATAAAGATTCTGGAGGGAGGTTTTTTAAAGATCAGATTCTGATTTAAAGGGGCTGGAGTTGGAATTGAAATTCTGCAATTCTAACGAATTCTTAGGTGATGTCAATACTGCTGCTCTTTATGTAACACTTTTGATTAGCAAAATGTTAGAATAAATCATTAATTACAGTTCAACTTAGTTAATCATTAATTACTTATTGCTGAATTAGTCATTTTAGTTATATTCTAACTTGGCCTTTATCCCTATAGCCACTGAAGAGAGTAACTTAAAGTGGCAGACATTACATTAAACCACAATTTTTTTTTTCAGAAGGAATGAAAAAGTTTTATATAAATCTTCTCACTGATTGTCACATAAATATGGAAGTGAAACATACTCATTCTTGTTGGCTATCTGGTAGAAAATGAGACCTTATGGTCACAGCCAGCCACAGCCAGTATCCTCAGCTATGGATACTAACGCAATGAAATATTTTCACGAATGATTATTCTGCCTTAAAATAATAGGAGATATAGAAAGCTATGTCTCAGAATGTGAACACATTCAGTGGAATTTCCACTCAGTTTAAAGTGGGAGACATATTTGTGTGGCATAGCTCTGCTACTTTGTATCTCTTAGGCAAGGCCCCTTTCTATGCTAAGCCTCAATTTCTCCATTTATAATATGAAAAAGTTGGACTTTTTAAGTTCTTTAACGAGAATTACTAGTCTAAGCAGTCATGATGGCAATATATCTGAGATGCAGTGAATGTCTACATTTTATAAAGTCTATATAAAAAGGTAACATAAAAATTTGCTTATGTGGTTAACTTGAAATGGAGGATGGCCCCACCAACACTGGCAGCGATCTTTTTTAACTTCTGAATAAAATGTTCATAAGGTCATCCATTTCTATTCAACAACATTTTACTTCCTGTAATCACAACCCCTCCAACACACACACACACACACACACACACACACACACACACACACTTCAGCTTTATAAAGTGTAAACAAAGCTACTTAAAATTCTCCAAGTAAGATAAACTTGCCATATCCTTAAACCTGGAAACTTTCTTTCTACTCAAGTTTCTCAGCATTTTGTTGGCAAGGAATTATCTTCTCCAATTAAATATGAACTCAATTTCTTCTCCTAAAATTGTTCACTGTTCCCCAGAGAGTCATATTAGAGGCTTACTCTGGATTAAACTGTAACCAGTTTTGAATTTTGATAAATAGTTTTTCAGAAGTGTAAGTGTACCTTTCAGAGATATGTCACAGGCTTCCTTCTATGCAATGTTTACTATATATTAAGCAGTCAGCACTCTACTTTTTGTTTGGCACTTACTAATACAGTTAAGATTAAAGAAGCAAGTAAATTTTGTGTGTGAAGCCTTATGCTAATTTTTATGCAGAGAGATCAAGGAAAAGTGTTAAATTCTTGACTTTTAGTAGCTAAAAGTCACATAAAAATATGAAAGTGACTTAGAAGCAGTTACCCAGTAGCATGTAAATACATACTAAAAAAAATGAAATTGGAATCCCTGTGTAGAATCGGGTCCCAGAATAATGGTATGATAAGAGTATACTTGAATTAAGGAAAATTATTCTTCTCTTTTGACAGCTAAGGTTTACTGAATGCCTAGTATGTCCTAGGCACTATATAAAGCACATACATGCATTATTTTATTTTACTCTCACAAAAACCTTATGAGGTCAGGATTATTATTAGTATCATTTTAAACATGAGGTAATTGAAACCTGGATGATAAACTAGCTGAAGGTCACACAGGTAGAAAATGGCAGAACAAGGACTAGAACCCAAGTCTCTCTGACTTCAATATTTGTTATTTTAACCTCAATTTTTTTGGGGGGGGATGGAGTCTCTCTCTGTGGCCCAGGCTGGAGTGCAGTGGGACCATCTCCGCTCACTGGAAACTCTGCCCCCCAGGGCCAAGCATTTCTCCTGCCTTAGCCTTACGAGTAGCTAGGACTACAGTCGTGTGCCACCATGTCCACCTAATATTTGTATTTTTAGTAGAAACAGCGTTTCACCATGTTGGCTATGCTAGTCTCAAACTCAAGTGATCCACCTGCCTCGGCCTCCCAAAGTGTTGGGATTACAGGCATGAGCCACCGTACCCAGCCTTTAACCGCGATGTATTGATACAGTGTACATACTAATTCAAATCAAAGTAAGGAAAGCCTGGTAGACACATTACATACTAAAAAGTCAGGTTTACTGATATTACCTTAGATGAATAGGATCTGATAATTTTGAAGTTAAAAGCAGTTTCTTCTATTACTGATGAGAAAACTGATAATCAGAGAAGAGAATGACTTGCTCAAGCCACAATACTAGTAACTGGCAAAGTTGTGACTAGCAAGCAGGTTTTTTGACTCCTCATAACTGTTTTCCCCTACTACACAAATAAAGCCTTGGTCTAATATAATTTTTATATACACTGTTTTTTTTTTGTCTAATGGAGTCCCAGCTTAGTTATGTCAGTCACATATAAACAAATGTAAATGATTTTGCATATTACCTTCACAGCTCCGATTTATTCTTAAAATGATAGGTGGCTTTCTTATGGAGACTAAGGCATGAAACATAAAAAAGCATGTCATTTAAAATTATGTCCAGAGGCAAGTAGAAGTCATCAAGCAAACAGCATATGTTCTTCTGGTCCCCATGAATGCTAGCCTGATTTGTATTTGGTTCTCCCAAAAGTCTCAATTCCTGGCTCATGTTAAAAAACTTTTTAGCACATAGTTATGTCAGTTTATCAATACTGTAAACAAATGTCCTGTCTCTTAACAGATTGTACTGAGATTGCCACTAAGCCTGACAAAGGCTGCTGAATAAAAAAGATAATTCAAATAATAACCCTAGTTCCTTTTAGCCAAATATCACACCAATAATTTACTCAGAGCTCTCAGTAACATCTATTCTTGCCCACTTTCTCATTTTTTTGAGTACTCAAGCTATATCAGGGTATTAGTTGAAATGGTTGTAATTAGAAAGGCAGTTGTCTTGGTGTATGCTTTGGTTTGCTGAGTAAGGTTGTATCTGTATTAAAATATGACCTTAAAAATACAATATTTTCAAAATTTTTCTGAGGATATTAACTAGTCTTATGCAATAAGCATTCAAAATATTTATTGAATTTCTATCTATGAGGGAAATTGTTACTGTTAATGGAAATATAGACATGAACAAGACAAATAAAGTTTTTTCCATTATGAAGCTTACAGTCTAGTTATGGGGTCAAGAGGAGGGCCATAGAAAGAGAATGGATGATGGCAGGTTGTTAGCAAAAACAAATAACAAACATGATCACTTCTCATAATTATGAATGCAACGAAGATAAAAATACAGTGTGATGCAACAAAGTGATTTGGAGTCAGAAAAGGCTGTTTTTGATTATATAGTAAAAGGCAGACTTTCTGAGGTTAAAGCTCAGAACTAAGCCCTAAATTTTACAAAGTTCTAGTGAAAATCTAACACAAAGCCCTTAAGTTAGGATGAAGCTTATTGTTATACAGGCCAACATGACTGGAACAAAGTAAGCAAAATAAACACAGGGATGTTTTCATAGACGAGGTATGTAGGAGACAGGTCACATAGGATTCTTTAGTTAAGGGCAAGTATATTTGATAATATTGATTACAGAGTCAAAATCATGTTTCTATATCCTACCTATCTCTTTTAAACAGCTCTATCAGGATTCGACTTCCAAACAACAAATTTCATCTGATTAAAGTGTACAATTTGATGGGTTTTAGTATATTTACAGAGTTGCGGAATCAAAACCACTATATCAGAACATTTTAATTATTACAGAAATAAATTCCATACTCATTAGTAGTTACTCCTCTTTCCATGTCAACATCCCAATTCACACTACCGCTAATCTACTTTCCACTTCTACATAGTTGCCTGTTGTGACCATCTCATATAAATGATACACATCATATGCAGTCTTTTGTAACTGTTTTCTTTTACTTAGCATAATGGTTTCAAGCTTCATCCATATTGTAGCATGTATAAACATGAATGCTATACTTTATTTACTTTTTATTGTCAAGTAATATTCCATTTTTAGTATATGCCACATTTTATTTACCCATTCTTCAGTTGATTAAAAATTTTATTGTTTCCCTTTTTGCTATTATGAATCGTGCTTCCAGGAACAATAATGTAACAACATGTTTTTAATTCTTTCTTTTTTTTTTTTTTGACGGAGTCTCACTCTGTCGCCCAGGCTGGAGTGCAGTGGCGCGATCTCGGCTCACTGCAAGCCCCGCCTCCCAGGTTCACGCCATTCACCTGCCTCAGCCTTCCGAGTAGCTGGGACTACAGGCGCCCGCCACCACGCCCGGCTATTTTTTTTTTTTTTTTTTTTGTATTTTTAGTAGAGACGGAGTTTCACCGTGTTAGCCACGATGGTCTCGAGCTCCTGATCTCGTGATCCGTCCACCTCGGCCTCCCAAAGTGCTAAGATTACAGGCGTGAGCCACCACGCCTGACCCCTTTTAATTCTTTTGGACATATTCTTAGGAGTGGAATTATTGGGTCATATAATAAATATATGGTTAACATTTCGAGCAGCTGTTTTCCAAAATCACTGTATAAAATTTTATTCAGCCGATAATTATAGTAATTATGTGTTTGATTCCAATAATGTAATTACAGTGACATTAGTAATTCTGTACAGATACTTGGAAATTTCAAAATTACTTCTATAAATTTCTACTTTCATACTTTTACCCTGTAGCTATGAAATGGCAACATAGGGAACATATGGGATATTGTTAATAGTTTTTATAGTGCTGTATATTAAACTTTTTTTAGACATGATTTGTATGGTCAAACTTTTCAGAGTTATTTCTGAGCTTTTAATACATTTTTATGGGACTGTTTACTTTTCTGTTGGGAATGTTTTGACAGGAACCAGAAGAAAGGTAGCTATTGAGAATTTTCAATACAAGTATAATGCTGAAGTGATGGAAATCCCATTTCAAAGACAGTTTTCTTGAAGCTTCCTAAACAAATTTTGGTCTCCAGAGGTGAGTCTCCTTCTGATTAGTTGAATGTAATCAATTCATCTTAGAGACAGGGTTGCCAACATTTCTTCTTCCTAACCACTTCCTAAGAACAGAAAAACTAACAAGCAAGAAACAGCAAGGCCTCTGTCAATCTTCTTGCACAGACAGTGCTCATTGCCTCAGACCTGGTTTGGCTCTTGGCCTTCACCCTTTTTGAGTCCTTATTACATTTTTCCTTTTGAAACCCAATTTAAATCATGCTTTCAAGTTCAACATAGTTCAAATTTTATGCATCATTTTCCTTTTGATGTTTCTATATTTGAAATCTTACAATGTGGATTTTGAACTACACAATCTTGCATTTGAGTATATGCCTCATGTTGTGCTTTAATAAAATCATGAACCCTTTGAAAGGAAGAACCACCCATTCCTCCTTTTCTGTCTCTTAGAGTACCTACATGTCAATTAGGAGCATCATAAATATACATTGACTGATTGATTTATTTTTGTCAGTTTAAAAATAGTTTCTCTAGCCAGAATAACTTATTTAAGACTTAATAAATGCCCTGCTGAGTTTCAGACTTGTGTGGGGCCTGTAGCCCCTTTTTGGCTTATTTCTCCCCTTTGAAATGAGAATATATATTACTTAATGCCTGTACCCCCATTGTATCTTGGCATTCACTAGACTGTTTTTTATTTTATAGGCCTATAGCGGGAAGAGACTAGCCTTTTCTCAGATGCAACTTTGGACTGTGGACTTTCGAGTTAATGCTGGAATGGGTTAAATTTTTCCATTAAGTCTTACATCTGTTGTATAGGCATGATTATATCTTGCCATGTTAGAAGGACATGAGATTTTGGAAAAGCCAGGGTCAGAAGGAAACGTTCAAATCTGTGTCCCTGCCCCAATCTCATGTTTAATTGAAATCCCCAG
Organism: Homo sapiens; assembly: GCF_000001405.40. Lineage (NCBI taxonomy): Eukaryota > Metazoa > Chordata > Mammalia > Primates > Hominidae > Homo > Homo sapiens. The sequence continues at coordinate 79,579,718 of NC_000023.11, forward strand.
TGTTAGAGGTGGGGAATGGTGGGAGGTCATTGGATCATGAGGGCAGATTTCCCCCTTGGTACTGTTGTTATAATAATGAGTGAGTTATCATGATATACGGTTGTTTAAAAGTGTTTAGCACCTCCTGCTTCTTTCTCTTTCTTCTGTTCCAGCCATGTAAAGATGCCTGCTTACACTTTGCCTTCTGCCATAATTGTAAGTTTCCTGAGGCCTCCGCAGAAGCTGCTATGATTTCTTCACAATCTGCAGAACCGTAAGCTAATTAAACCTCTTTTCTCATTAAATTACCCAGCCTCAGATATTTCTCTATAGCAATGTGGGAACAGACTGATACAATGTGGGTAAATCCTTCATTAATGATTTAGCATTAGCCATTTGGTGCTGTTTTTGTGTTAGACTTCTCATGAGATCTGGTTGTTTAAGTGTGTGGCACCTTCCCCCTCTCTCTCGGTCCTGCTCCTGCCATATAAGACAGCTGCTCCCACTTGTCCTTCTATCATGAGTAAAAGCTCTCTGAGGCCTACCTAGCAGCAGATGCTGCTATGCTTCCTGTATGACCTGCAGAACTGTGTGACAATTAAACTTTTTAAGAAAGAAATTACCTGGTCTCACGTATTTTTATAGTAATGCAAGAACTGACTAATATACATATCTATAAAAAAGTAACATAACCATGCCTGCCCACTGTATCTTACAAATCATTATGGAAATTAAATAAGACCATGTATAATTTTTTATTGAAAATCATGCAGGGTAATGGAGACTTATTTAATTTAAACGAAATATCTCACTAAAAACACAAAAAAAGCTAAGTGAAATACAGTCAATCCTTGCTTTGAACGGTAATGTGAGAACATAAAAGTGACCATACAAGCTGACACTATGCAAAACAAATCGTAATAATCAATGGGAAAAAATATAGTTGCTTTGTGATTTTAAAACTTTTTGGTTAAAACATTAAAAACATTTTTACTGCCAGTTACAAGTGAATAGAAAAATGGAAAAAAATTATAAAGCAAATATCTACTTAGTACACTGTATTTAAATACTGAGAAATTAAAATATTTTATTAGTAAAGATGTATTAAGAGTGGTCTCAGCAGTGTCCTCCTTCTTCTAGTCATGGAACTTACAATTTGGACAACACATCTTTTCTATTTATTGGTGAATTGTTATACTCAATTTTAAGTTTGTATCAGCTTTGTACATTTTATCCTTTTTGATTTTAGTGTCATGAAAATCTCTAAGAGTTACTTTGATGTAAAATTGTTTGCCAGCATCACTTGCTCTGGAACATCTTCATCCTTTTATCACAACCACTTTTCTCATTTATGCCAATAAGTTTGCCTTCACTAAGTTCCTCTGGCTCTAGAGTCTCTAATAGCGGCAGTTTCAATCTTCCAACAGTTAGATATTTCTTCTACAATCTCATTACATTTGATTTGAATTTCACTCCCAGCGTTAGCACTTTTATTTCTTTGATGGACTTTGATTTTTCTTGACCAATTCCTTATTTCAGTTACCTATTATTATAAAATAACACATGAATTTGTCACTGAGGGACAAAAAGGTAGTATAAATATGTGCCATTTTTGATGAATAAACTGAATAATACATGCACAGTGACCAATTGCTGATAGACTATGAAAGAAATATGATTGGTCATTGATCACAATGCAAATCTGTTTTGTATATAGTGATTTGTGGACAAAAGTGCTGGCAGTGACATTTGCACTTTAAGAAATCACTAATAGTTAATATACCATAGTAAATAAAATCTAAGTCATATTGTTGGGAGACTGGTACCATTTAAGTGAACACTGGTAATTTGAACTCATGTATACTGTAACCACACGGTGAAATGAAAAGTATTCATTTAAAACATCTCATTCATAAATCAATTAAGACTCAGATAGGAACTATTGAGCCAAGATATGTAAGAAGAGGAGAGTCCAGAGGGAAGAGCTTGCCTTTTAGTGCTTCTTATGCTGTTTCTAATAAGGTACCTGTAAGGCTGAGTAGAAATTTTGATAAATGTACAGATCCAGGAGAACAACATGTGAAGCCCAGGTTTTACCAGAACTATTAACCTTAGCATTTATGGTTGGAACCCTGAAGAGCTACACCAAAGTAGTAAGGACAAACCTGAAACAATTCCAAAATCACTTACACTGCCACCCAACTTCAAGTTATCTTGATGGACTAAAAAATTTCAAGTCCTCAAATCTGAAGCTGGTACTATGTTGTTACTTGCTAGAAACTTGGCAGAAGCTTACACAAGTTCATTTTATGAGAAGAGATTATCCTAGGCCTTAAATTATTTCCAGAAATATTTTTTCTTCAAATCCAATGTCCAACATAGGAGCAAAAAATAATCAGATACATGCAAACACAAAACAACATGAATATGCATTACCACAAACACCAGACGACATGTTTGTACTGCATATAGTGGAATTACCAGACAATTTCCATGTTCTTTGAGATGAAGTTCAAGTTTCAGGAAAAAAAAAAAAAAAACAAAAAAAAAAAAAACAGAAAATTAAAAGACATTGCAGATTTGGAAAAAAAAAAAACCTCTGGAAATTCTAAAAATGAATATTGTAGTAATCAAAAAAAAGCCCGATGAATACATTAAATAGTAGGTTATGAATGAGTAATTTAAACAAAAATAAAATAAGATGCAAGAAGGAATAAAATTTTCAGACACGTTCGCAAAAATTGTGAATTCACAGGTATGGTGTCAGTGAATACAAAATGATGAAGTAAGGACCTCCAAAAACTTGCCCCTCCATAAAAGCAATTTAAAAAATTTAGAATCAACATTTTTAGAACTTTGGAAATTAACCAAAAACTTGCAACAATCCAGCAAGTGTTTAGTAAATGAAAAAATATATCTGAATCTCAGTGAGAGCAGTAAGTTTTGTGGCATTTTAATTTATTCTAGTCCCATCTCTTATTACCAGTTCAGCAGTATCCTTGAAAATTAAAGGCCCACATTTTCAATACTGAAGGGAGCAAAAGAAAGCTGGAGCACTTTCAAAGCATAAGCCCCAAAGAATATTAATTATTTGACTTGTCTGGTGGCTCTCTGGAAGACCTCACTCAAAACGTTTGCCTACATTTGATCTGACTCAAACTCACCCAGCTGACGTGGTGCAAGCCTGTTGTTAGGGGCATTTTTTGAACATTATAACATCCCAGCTGCCTGAGGTGACAGATAATGGGGAAAACAGTAGAAAAATCAATAGGCTTAAATGGAAAACCTTAGGAGGACATGTCCATATGGATGTTGAAGAACTCTGTAGTACTGTTGAGAATCCAGAAGTTCATATGCATGCATAAAGCTGTGTGCATGCTAAGGAAAATCCTGAGAAAGCCCTACACTCTTCTGCCTGAACTTGAAGTTCTGTGCAAGGAGAAAATAAAGGCTAAGGCAAGAGTGTACAAGCCTAACACAGTGTTCAATGCATGCCCCAACAAACACACATGGCCCATTAGCAAAGACTGAAGGATTTATAGGTTCCAGATATTTAAAGATATGTGTTTCTAATTACTAGTTGACCACTAATAGGGATCAGAAATTTCAGTTGCTATACATGATAAAGAACAGAAAATTCACTAAAGAGAAATAGAAAGTTAAATACTGCATGTTCTCACTTATAAGTGGGAGATAAATAATGAATACATGTGGAAATAGAGAGTGAATTTGTAGACATTGGTGACTTGAAAGGGTGGGAAGTTGGAGGGGTGAGGTATGAGAAATTACTTAATAAGCACAATGTACACAATTTGGGTGATGGCTGCACTAAAAGTCCAGAATTTACCACTGTACAGTATATCCATGTAACAAAACTGAGCTTGTATTTTCTAAGTCTATAAAAGTTAAAAAGTCGCTACACAAACAACAATTTTTTTAAAAAAGTAGCAACAAAAAACCCTAACAAGGAAAGAGAATCTAATTTCCAGATTTACCACATTATATTAATTAAAATAACTGGATTTCAAAAAGATAATGAAACATTCAAATAAATAAGATAATGTAAACCCCACACGGGAAATAAAACAATCAGTAAAACATATGAGAAAGCCCAGATGTTGGAGATACTAGAAAAATACTTTAAGGCCGGGCACGGTGGCTCACGCCTGTAATCCCAGCACTTTGGGAGGCCGAGGTGGGTGGATCACGAGGTCAGGAGGTCGAGACCAGCCTGTCCATAGTGAAACCCCATCTGTACTAAAAATACAAAAAAATTAGCTGGGCATGGTGGTGGTGCGTGCCTGTAATCCCAGCTACTTGGGAGGCTGAGGCAAGGAGAATTGCTTGAATCTGGAGGCAGAGGTTGCAGTGAGCCGAGATCACGCCACTGCACTCCAGCCAGGGCGACAGTGTGACACTCCACCTCAAAAAAATATATACTTTAAATCAGCTATTTTAAATATTTTATTTTTTTAACTATTATTTTAGGTTCAGGGGTACATGTACAAATCTGATACATAAATTGCTTGTCTAGGGGTTTGGTGTATAGATTATTTCTCCAGCCAGGTAATAAGCATAGTACCCAGTAGATAGTTTTTTGATCCTCACTCTCCCTCCTTCTACCCTTAACTAGGGCCTTTGTGTCTTTTGTTCCCTTCATTGTGTCCATATGAACACAATGTTTAGCTCTCATTTATAAGTTAAAACATGTGGTATGTGGATTTGTGTTCCTGTGTTAGTTCACTTAGGATAATGACCTCCAGCTTTATCCATGTTTCTGTAAAGAAGATGATCTCGTTATTTTTTCTGGCTGCATAGTACTTCATGATGTATAAGTACCACATTTATTCTATCCTGTCTACTTTTGATGGACATTTAGGTTGATTCCATGTCTTTGTTATTGTGAATAGCGTCACAATAAACATATGCATGCTTGTGTCTATATGGTAGTGTATGTGTCTATATGGGGAGTATACATTCAATCATGGAAATGCCGGGTTTAATGGTAATTAAGCTTTAGATTTCAGTTATTTGAGAAATTGTCACAATGCATTCCACAATGGCTGAACTAATTTGCATTCCCACCAGCAGTGTGTGTTTCCTTTTTCTCCACAACTTCACCAGCATTTGTTATTTTTTGACATTTTAATAATGCCATTCTAATTGGTGTAAGATTGTATTTCATTGTAGTTTTGATTTGTATTTTTCCAGTGATTAGTGACATTAAGCGTTTTTTCATATGCTTGTTGCTCACATGTATGTCTTCTTTTGAATGGTGTCTATTTATGTCCTTTGACCACTTTTTAATGAGTTTGGTTTTTTTTTTGCTTATGAATTAGTTTAAGTTCCTTATAGATTCTGGATATTAGACCTTTGTCAGATGCATAGTTTAAAAATATTTTCTCCCATTCTGTAGACTGATTGTTTACTTTGTGGATAGTTTATTTTGCTGTGCAGAAGCTTTTTAGTTTAGGTCCTATTTATCAATTTTTGTTTTTGATGCAATTACCTTTGGCATCTTTGTCATGAAATATTTGCCTGGTTTTATTCAAAATGGAATTTCCTAGGTTATCTTCCAGGGTTGTTATAGTTTCAGGTTTCATAGTTAAGTCTTCAATCTATTGTGAGTTAATTTTTTGTATATGGTGTAAGAACGGAGTTTAGTTTCAATCTTCTGCATATGGCTAACCAATTATTCTAGCACCACTTATTGAATAGGGAGTCCTTTTCCCATTGCTTGTTTTTGTTGACTTTGACAAAGATTAGAAGGTTGTATGTGTGTGGCATTATTTCTGGACTCTGTTCTGTTCCATTGGTCTATGTGTTGGTTTTTGTACCAGTTCCATGCTGTTTCAGTTACTGTAACCTTGTAGCATAGTTTGAAATCAGGTAATGTGATGCCTCCAGCTCTGTCCTTTTTGCTTAGTATTGCCTTAGCTATTCAAGCTCTTTTTTTGGATCCATATAAAATTTACAATCATTTTTTTCTAATTCTGTGAAGAATGTTGTTGTTAGTTTGATAGGAATGTCATTGAATCTGTAAATTGCTTTGGGCAGTGCAGCCATTTTTATAATATTGATTCTTCCAATCCATAAGCATGGAATGTTTTTGCATTTATTTGTTTTCTCTCTGATTTGTTTCATCAGTGTTTTGAAATTCTCATTGTAGAAATCTTTCACCTCCCTAGTTAGCTGTATTCCTAGGTATTTTATACTTTTTGTGACTATTGTAAACAGGATTGCATCCTTGATTTGCCTCTCAGCTTGGATGTTGTTAGTGTACAGGAATGCTGCTAATTTTTGTACATTGATTTTGTATCCTAAAACTTTGCTGAAGTTGCTTAGACGATCAACATGTTTTGGGGCAGAGACTATGGGGTTTTCTAGGTATAGGATCATATTTTCTGCAAACAGGGATACTTTGACTTTCTCTCCTCCTATTTGCATGCATTTTATTCCTGCCTCTTGCCAGATTACCCTTGCCAGGACTTCCAATAAAATAGTTAAATAAGACTGATGAAAGAGGGCATCCTGCCTTGTTCCAGTTTTCAAAGAGAAGCCTTCTATTTTTTGCCAATTCAGTATGATGCTAGCTGTGGGCTTGTAATAGATGGCTCTAATTATTTTAAATTATGTTTCTTCAATGTCTAGTTGCTTCAGAATTATTAACATGAAGGAATGTTGAATTTTATATAAATCCTTTTTATTTATTTATTTTTTTTGAGACAGAGTCTTGCTCTGTTGCCCAGGCTGGAGTGCAGTGGTGCAGTCTTGCCTTACTGCAACCTCTGCCTCCCAGGTTCAAGTGATTCTCCTGCCTCAGCCTCCTGCGTAGCTGGGATTACAGGTGCCCACCACCACGCCCGGCTAATTTTTGTATTTTTAGTAGAGATGGGTTTGCCATGTTGGCCATGCTGGTCTTGAACTCCTCACCTCAAGTGATCCACCTGCCTCAGCCTCCCAAAGTGCTGGGATTACAGGTGTGAGCCACCACTCCTGGCTCCTTTTTTTGCATCTATTGAGATACTCATGTGGTTTTTGGTTTTAGTTCTGATTATGTAATGAATCACATGTCTTCATTTGCCTATGTTGACCCAACCTTCCATCCCAAGCAGGGATAAAGCCTACTTAATTGTGATGGATTAGATTTTTTGATATGCTGCTAGATTTGGTTTGTTAGTATTTTGTTAAATATTTTGCATCTGTGTTCATCAAGGATGTTGGCCTGAGGTTTTCTTTTTTTTTGTTGTGTCTCTGCCAGTTTTTGTTATCAGGATGATGCTGGACTCACAGAATGAGTTAGAGAAGTTTCCTTTCTCCTCAATTTTTTGCAGTCATTTCAAAAGGAATAGTACCATATTATCTTTATACATCTGGTAAAATTTGGCTGTGAATCTGTCTGGTCCTGTGTTCTTTCTGGTTGGTTGGACTTTTAATACTGATTCAGTTTCAGTACTCATTATTAGTCTGTTCAGGTATTCAATTGCTTTTGGTTGAATCTTGGAAGGTTGTATGTTTCCATGAATTTTTCCATCATTTCTAGGTTATCTAGTTTGTATGCATACAGGTGTTTATAGTAGTCATTGAGAGTTTTCTGTATTTATGTGGAGTCCGTAGTAACATCTCTTTTGTCATTTCTGATTGTGTTTATTTGAATCTTCTCTCTTTTTTTGTTTATAGTTCTAGATAGTAGTATATTTGTCTTATTAATTCTTTCAAAGAACTCCTGAATTGATTGATCCTTTGTATTGTTTCCATATCTCAATTTCCTTCAGGTCACCCATGAAATGGTTACTTCTTGTCTTCCTATAGCTTTGTGGTTGGTTTTCTCTTTTACTAGTATGTTGTATCTTTGTTATCATTAGCTTCAAATAATTTATTGACATGTACCTTAATTTCATTAATTACCCAGAAGTGATTCAGGAGCAGGTTGTTTAATTTTTATATAATTGTTTGGTTTTGAGTGATTTTCTTAGTATGGATTTTTACTTTTATTTTGCTGTGGTCCAAAAATGTGGTTGGTAGGATTTGGGTTTTACTTTTTTATTTGTTGAGGACATTGTTTTATGTCTGATTATGTGGTTGATTTTAGACTACATGCCATGTGAAGATGAGAAGTTCTGTTGTTTTGAGTTTGAGAGTTCTGTAGATGTCTTTTAGGTATATTTGGTCAAGTATTGAGTTCAGGTCAGAAATATTTTTCTTAGTTTTCTGCCTCAATGGAGAGTCTAATGCAATGGACAGTCAGTAGAGTGTTGATGTCTCCCACTATTATTGTGTGGTTTTCTAATCTCTTCATATGTCTGTAAGGACTTGGTCTATAAATCTGGTTGTTCCTGTTTTGGGTGTGGATTTATTTAGGATAGTTAGGTGTTCTTGCTGAGTTGAACCCTTAGCATTATGTGATGTTCTTCTTTGTCTTTAAAAAGAAAACTTTGTGAGTTTAAAGTCTGTTCTGTCTGAAATTACAATAGCAACCTCTGTTTTTGTCTGTTTTCCATTTGCTTGGTAGGTTTTTCTTCATCTCTTTAATTTGAGCATATGGGTGTCATTGCATATGAAGTGAATCTCTGGAAAACAGCATAGCACTGGGTCTTGCTTCTTTATCTAACTTGCCAGTCTGTGCCTTTTAATTGGGTCATTCAGCCCATGCATAGTATTGATATCTGTGGATTTGATCCTGTCATCATGTTAACAGGTTGTTATGCAGACTTGTTTCTGTGGTTGCTTTATGATGTCATTGGTCTATGTACTTAAGTTTGGTTTTGTAGTGGCTGGCAAAGGTCTTTTCTGCCCATATTTAGCACTCTCTTCATTACTTATTTTAAGGCAAGTTTTGTTGGTAATAAATTCTCTTGGCATTTGCTTGTCTAAAAAGTATCATTTTTTCTCCTTTTCTTTAGAAACCTCATTTGGCTAGATATAAAATTCTTGGTTGGAATCGCTTTTCGTTAAAAATGCAGAATATATGCTGTGATCTCTTCTGGCTTGTAGCGTTTCTGCTAGCCTGATGGAGTTCTCTTTGTAGGTGATCTTCCCCTTCTTTCCATATGTCTTTAACATTTTTTCTTTCATTTTGCCCTTGGAGGATCTGTGTGTCTTAGGGATGGTCTCCTTGTTTAGTATTTCATAGGGGTTCTCTGCATTTCCTGAATTTGAATGTTGGCCTCTCTAGGGAGGTTGGGGAAATTTTCAGGAACAATATCCTGAAATAAATATGTGTTCCAGGTTTCTTGCTTTCTCTTCCTCTCTTTTAGTAATGCCAATGAGTCACAGATATTGTCTCTTTTCATAATACCATATTTTTTGTTTGTGTTTATTCTTCTTGTTTTTCTTTATTTTTCTCTGACTGTTATTTTGGAGAGCTGGTCTTTGAGCACTCAAATTCTTTCTTCAGCTTAGTTGATTCTGGTATCCATACTTGCAGTTGTAATCTGAAATTCTTAAAGTGGGTTTTTCAACTTATCAGATCAGTTTGATTCTTTATTAAAATGGACATTTTGTTTTTCATCTTCTCTATCATTTTTTGTATTCCTTTGAAACCTTAGAATGAGTTTTGACTGAATCTTGATGATTTTTATTTTTATCCAAATTCTTAATTCATTTTCTCATATTTCAGCTATTTCAGTCTGGTTAAGGACTATTGTTGTGGAAATAGTGTGGTCATTTGGAGGTAGAAAGACACTCTGGCTTTTTGAATTGCCAGAGTTCTTGCACTGGCTCTTTCTAGTCTTTGTCAGCTGATGATCCCTCAATCTTTGAAGTTGCTGTCTTTTGGATAGATAGATTTTTCTTTTATGTTCTTTGATATCCTGAGTTGTTTGGTTGTGGTATTAGGTAGGCTCAGTCAACTGTCTTCCTTTCTGAAGGATTTTAGGGGGCCAGGTTTCATCTCAGGACTCCTGAGTTGCATGCTGTAACTCTGGGGGAGGGATTGGTATCCAGCCACTAGCTTTGCTTTCTGGTCCCTCTAGGTTAGGACTGCTTTGCTTGAGGGGCCAAAGTGTTCGCAGACTGTTAGTCACACACTCCAATAGATGGTAAGAGCCCAAGCATTTCATTGGAAGGTGGCAGTGAGATCTGTGCTCATTTGTATGTGACAGCAGCAGTGGCAGTGAGATGGGCTTCATGCTTATCTGCTCTGGTGCATCATTGTCAGGCATGGTGGTGCCAGCCCCCATGTAGCCATTTGCAGTTGTAATGGTGGCAGTGAGACACATGGAGTGTGGGGTGCATGATTGCTGCCATTTTTATACATGTTTATGTCAGAGCTGGTGTCAGCATGGATGTGGGGCACTGGAGGGCACTAGTCTGGCCCTTCTGTACATGCATTCACACTGGTGGCAGTGGTGGCACAGGGTGGGATGTGGGGTCACTGGCTTCTGTGCATGCATTTGCCTTGGCGATGGTGGCACAGTAGGAAGTATAGGGTGCTCACATGCCAGCAGCAGTGGCACAGTGGGGTGTACATGCACACACACACACCAGCAGCAGGAAAGGGAATATGAAGTTTGCCCATGTGCGTGCACTGGCAAAACAATGTGTGGGGTGGCCATGCATGAGTTTGTGCCAGCAAAGTGGCATGGGTGAGGCTCTGGTAGGGACAGTGCATGGGAGGACTGCTGCACTTCAGTGGGGGCCGCTCTGCTGGAGCTCTCTGGTGGTCAGATGTGGTCAGCCAGTGAAGAACCTATGATACTGGCCCCTAGGAGGCACCCTGGCTGGGCATCCTAGGCTGGACTGCAAGCAGGCATGACCAGGTTGTAGCCCTGGGAAAAACCAGCAGACAGGGAAAAACTCACATTGAACCAGCCCCATCTCACGAGCACGATTACCCTGTTCTCTTTAGGTCTGACAGTTCTCCATAGGCTAAAGTTTCTTAGGGGAGCAAGGTGAAATGGCCATCACTGGCTATGTTCCACTGTAGATGCTTTCACAACAAACTCTCTAGATTCCACATTGGCTAGAGTTCTTCCCCTATTACCTCTCTGAACAGCTTTCCCTGCCAGCTCACGTGTCTGTGGGCATCAAGGGTTCTCCTACTGTCGGAATTCCAAAGGGCTATGGCAAGAGTGGGTTGATTCTTGCCTGCTCAACTCACATTTTCCCCTGGAGTCACTGGGGGCAAGCATGAGTGTTGATATGTCATAGCCCCATGCAGGCATCCCAGGTTCCTCCCCCTTCAGCCCAACATCTATCTTCTTCCTCTGTCCACTCACAATGCCTTTCTTCTGAAGATTTTCTCAGAGTGTGCAAATATTCCCAGTGTCCTGGTCCCTCAGTGGCAGATGTTTCTCTTGGCTGTGTCTAGACAGCCATCTTGCCTAAATCCTTAAATAGTTTAAAATAAGTAAAGGAAAGCATATCTGTAGAACTGCAGGAAAATATAAAAACAATCTTCCGCCAAATAGAGAACATCAATAAAGAAATAGAAGTCAATAAAATAATCAAATGAAATTCTAAAGTTGTAAGCTAATATAATTAAAATGCAAAATTAAAGAGAAGAATTTAACAGCATATTTGAGGAGACAGAAGAAGCAGTCATCAAACTTAACAACTGGCCAATTGAGATGATGTAATCCTAGAACAAAAAGAAGAGAAAATAAAGAAAAAAGACAGAACCTCAGAGACCATCATCAACTCAAGAGAACCATCGTACACATAATAGAAGTTCTGGAAAAAGAGAATAGAAAGAGAGAGAGGAAAATATTTGAAAAAATAATAACCAAAATTTGATGACACATATTAATTCAAAAATTCAAGAAGCTTAATGCCCTCTAAGTAGGATAAACTCAAAGAATGTTTTATAACATATTTATCTAATTCAGTATTCTTAAACCTGTGGAACATGAAAGTCTGACATTATTACCCCATTATATAGAAAAAGTTGAGGCTCACATTAGGGGTTATAATGTATGTCAACCTAGTGAAAGAATTAACAGTACAACCTAAGCTTTCTAATTCCTAGTCCATTGTGCTTTCTAATAGACCACACTACCATATGTATTTGAGTAGCCTTGGGCCTCAAACCATGTTTCATGGTGATGTGATTTAGACTTAGGATTTATGAGGCTTTCCTCTGCATAAAATTTACAAGTTAAGGTTTGATAACTTACATATTGTTTTCTTGTGCCTATGCTGACATCTTATCAAAATCTGCAATGTTTAAGAAAGAATTTCTGATGCTTTAAAATTCTTCTTGCTCTTTTCAATATGTTTTTTTCAAAATGCTATTAATAAATTCATATGGATTTATTGGTGATGTGTTCATAAAAATGACCAGAAGCTGCTTATAGACCAGCTACATTGCAATGATAAAAATAAAAGCTTCCCCTGTGATGATGAAAATAATAGTATTGAAACTCTGTAATAATAAATTTTCTTTTCAAAACAGAACTTCAAATTCTCTTGAAACAAACAAATATTCCTGAAAATTTTATTTGTGTGTATGTAGAAAGATTATTTTTATATTTTACTCAGACTTAATGTTGTTGTCAATTTTTGCAATGCAACAGTAGCATTACATGTAAAGACATTTGGCTTTAATATACTTATTTGCCTCTTACTAGCAGATATCCCTGCCAAATGTTTCAAGTTTTATCTTTTTCTATCTGTAACTGCATTAGAGTAGGACAACTAAACCGTCATTGAAAAGAAACATAAAAAATAGGGTTCATATGACCATACAATTATCTTAAATTTATGATGTTGATAGCTTCAATCAATAAGGAAGAACATTCATTGCCCTCTAGCGGTTAGTCTCTTAGCCCCTATGTTGCTGGCCCCATCAACATAGAATTTCTACGTTTTTCAGAAAGTAAAAATCCAAATAGGTTGACTACAATCAAAATAGAGGAAATCAGCCTAAGGAAAAAAAAAACCCTAGAATCCAGCACCTAGCTCTGGATGCAAATAAAAGATGTTAAATTGAAGAGTTAAAACTTCAAATATGAGATAAACAGATTTGGATTAAAATTTGGGGTTAAGTGACCAGCTTCTTTATACCTGCTGAGATTTAAAAAAAAAAAATTTGCCTCTCTCCAAATGTGGTCTATGTTTTTCTAAACCTGCGAAACCACTGCAGATTGAAAGAAACGTAAGATGTCTATATGAAAGAATGCTGGAGATTATTTTTACCTAACTTTCTTATTTTACAAAAGGAGACAGAAGCCACTAGAGGGAAAGTGTCTTTCTCATGGTTAAACTAACACTGACAAAATTGAAAATGAAACCCAGTGTCATTCTTCCATGTTAGTTTTCCAGATTTCACGTTTGAAATTATAGATTAAGAGAGGCAGAGATCTTTTATCAAAGAGATGTGAATTTAGTATTTGACTCTTCACCAAACCCCTGCAATGGTTAATAATGAGTGTCAACTTGATTGGATTGAAGGATGCAAAGTGTTGTTCTTCTGTGTGTTTGTGAGAGTGTTGCCAAAGGAGATTAATATTTGAGTCAGTGGACTGGGAGAGGCAGACCCACCCTCAATCCGGGTGGACACCATTTAATCAGCTGCCAGCATGGCTAGGATAAATGCAGGCAGAGAAGCATGGAAGAACTAGGCTGGCTGTCTTCTGGCCTCTGTCCTTCTTCTGTACTGGATTCTTCCTGCCCTCAAACATCAAACTCCAAGTTCTTCAGCTTGTGGACTCCTGGGCTTACACCAGTTGTTTGCCAGGGGCTCTCGGGCCGTCAGCCACAAACGGAAGGCTGCACTGTTGACTTCTTTACTTTTGAGGTTTTGGGATTTGTACTGGCTTCCTTCTCAGCTTGCAGACGGTATATTGTGGGACTTCACCTTATGACTGTGGGAGTCAATACTCTTTAATTAACTCTCTTTCATATATACATCTATCCTATTAGTCCTGTCCCTCTAGAGAACCCTGATTAATACAACTGCTCAGTCACTGTTTTTCATGAATATTGTAAGTTAATATTAGTTGGCTACAAAAGCTTTTGAAGCAAATACAAAAAGGATTTTGGTCAACTATTCAACCTATAATTACCCCAAAAAGGGTCTTTTTCATGAAAAAAAATTTTATAAAATTTTGGATTTTGACAAGGCCTTCAATAGAACTTGATTAAAAATACAAGTTGGTGGAACATTCTTGAAGAACAAAATTGATTGTTGTTATAGCTTTCAATTACTCTTAAAACTTTTGTGGCCTTCCAGAGCTCTTCATTAAATTTTGAGTATTCCTGAAAGAATTAACTCCCACAGTCATTAACCATTAACATTTTAATTAAAATTATGTTGTCATATTATTTTACTAATACAATAACATTGCATTAAAACATCTTGATAACAGGAAATCAAAGTCCATAGTTATGGAAGGTAAGCATGACATCTAAAGGATTATGAAGACTATAAAAACAGAAGAACATAGAGTGGTGCTTAATTTTTCCATTTTTCTTTTAGGTCCTTATGGTGGACACCTCTCTTTGAACCACTTTCTTCTAAATCAATAAAAGATCAATAAGTAATTGACAAGCTTCTCTCACTTACTGTAAGATAAACTCATAGTCTAGTAATAAGACATGAAGGCATTTGCCTCTATTCATTTCAAAATTAAGTATTGAATTTCTGTTATGTCTTTAACAATGTTTTTGCTGCTGAGTATAAAGCAATTAGTATATCAGACTGATTACATGGGACTTACATTGTAGTTGGGAATAGGTAGACCATTAAATAGATAGTCTTATGCAAAAAATTGAATTAGGTGATATGAAAAAGAATAAAAATATGGTTATTTTAGATTTGGTCGTTAGAAAAAGTTTCTTTGAGAAAGTGGCATTTAAGCTGAAATAACAGTGACAAAAAGGGATCAACCAGATATGAATATTTTAGCTGGAAGAAATTCTATTGAAAAGGCCCAAAGGTGGAACAAAGTGTGGCATACTAAAGGACAGATCAGTGTATTTTGAGATTAGTGACTGAATAACTACTACTTACAAGAGAGTAGCAGGGGCAAGGTGTTGATTGAGCCTGTGCATAATCTCCATCATTGCTATCATAACCATTTATTCTACTAAACAAGCACTGAGACAACTGGGGGAAAAATTGTCAGACATTCATAGAATGGGTCATTCTCTCCAGCTATTACTGAGACACACGCACAACAGGAGTTGGCAGAAAAACCCACACAAATTTAGGGCCTCAAACAATATTGGGGTTTGATAGTCTGAAGCATGTACAAATATCTCCACCAAATTGAAGAAAAAATTGACTCATCTTGTACTGCCTGCAACAAGAAAGAATGTGACATTATTTAAATTTCAGATGCAACATATGGGACTTTTAAAGTACAGTCATGCCACCTAACAATGTTTTAGTCAATGATGGACCATGGACCACACATATGACAATGGTCTCATAAGATTATAATATTATATTTTTACTTTACTTTTGTATGTTTATATATGTTTAGATTCACAAATACTTACCATTGTGTTACAATTGTCTGTATTATTCAGTACCGTAATATGTTATACAGGGTTGTATCCTACTAGTAATAGGCTATATGACATAGGCTAGGTGCATAAAGGCTATATCACCTATGTTTGTGTAAGGATGCTGTATGATGTTCCCACAATGATGAAATTGCCTACCAATCAATTTCTTAGAACATATCCCTGTTGTTAAGTGATGCATGACTGCAATCCTAATTAAAATACATATAGGATTTTTCACGTACTTTGAGCACTGATTCTATGACTTATATGAATGAATTATTATTCAAAAAAATCTAGATAATTTTCATAAGCAGGAATCTGTTAAGAGAAAAGACTTTCCCAACCAGGCATTATTATTCTATAAAGACATTGTAGGCAAAGCATGGTACTAGATTATGCAACTTGTTGGAAAAACAAATAAGTACATCAGTGGAATAGAACAGACAATTCATAAATAGACCTATGTGTGTGAACATATGTATTTACTAAAGATGACAATTCACATCATTGGGGAAAGAATGCCCTATTTAATTAATGGAGTTGGAATAACTGACTATTTGTTTCAGGAAAGGTAAAATAAATTGCCATCTCACACCAGGGCTGATATCTTGTTGACATGGCCCAGTTGTTAATAACTTATGTCCATTCTGATCAGTCAATACCTATAGCACATTAATAGTTCAATATTGTTAACTTTCTAAGTTTTAGAAACAATCCCAAACCTACAGAAAATCTCAAGTACAGTATAAAGAACTTGTTTCACCAGAACAATTTGAGAGTGTTGCCAATATGATGCCTCTTCACTCCCAAATATTTGTTTGTTTCTGACAAACAAGGACATTCCCTAACATAACTACAGTAAAACCACCACAGTCAAGAAAATAACATTCATATATCATTACCATGTTTTTAACTTTTATTTTAAGTTCTGGGGCACAAGTGCAGGTTTTTGTTACATAGGTAAATTTGTGTCATGAGGAATTGTTGTACGGATTACTTCATCACAAGTATTCAGTCTAATACCCATTAGTTTTTTTTTTTCTTTTTTTGAGACAGAGTTGTGCTCTGTCGCCCAGGCTGGAGTGCAGTGGCGCGATCTTGGCTCACTGCAACCACCGCCTCCCGGGTTCAAGTGATTCTCCTGCCTCAGCCTCCTGAGTAGCTGGGACTACAGGCATGTGCCACCATGCCTGGCTAATTTTTTGTATTTTTAGTAGAGACCGGGTTTCACCGTGTTAGCCAGGATGGTCTCCTGACCTTGTGATCCACCCGCCTCGGTCTCCTAAAGTGCTGGGACTACAGCGTGAGCCACCGCGCCCGGCCACCCATTAGTTATTTTTTAAAATCCTCTTCCTCCCCGCAGCCTCCACCCTCCAAAAGGCCCCAGTGTATGTTATTTTCCTCTATGTGTCCATGTGTTCTTATCATTTAGCTCCCACTTACAAGTGAGAACATACAGTATTTAGTTTTCTGGTCTTGTCCATTGCAGCACTATTTACAATAGTAAAGACATGGAATCAACCTAAATGCCTAACAATGATAGACTAGATAAAGAAAATGTGGTACATGTTCGCCATGGAATACTATGCAGCCATAGAAAGAATGAGAGCATGTCCTTTACAGGGACATGGATGGAGCTGGAGGCCATAATCCTTGATAAAATTTTATCTGCTTCTAAAGTTGATCTATTTCTTTCCCAACACATACAGGGTTTGCACTCTTTTCTAGATCTGACTATCTTCTATTCTTTTACTTTACCTTTACTTTCTGGCCCAGTAATTAGTTTTTCCAATATATTCCCAAATCATTAAGTCCTGAATCTTTCCCAGATTTTCCTATTAGAAAAAAATCTCCTTCGTTTTCCTGAATTGTATAATCTCAGCCAGAAGATAACCTTCTGTCAGACCAACATTTATCTGAGGATTAAATTTGATTTATTATTATTCTTCCTCTTCTTTAAAACAACTAATTTTGTGGTGTTTTCTCTAAAAGTCTATTTTTTGGACATTGCCTTTTAGGTTTTTTAAATTTAATTCTGTATCCTCATTACACAACCATCTGCAATACCAAGCTAAATGAAATTTTTGTAGTTCAAAAGGAAAGATTAGCAGCCTGCACCTTATAATCACACACAATTTGTCTAGGACTGTCCTAGTAGTCATGCCTTTGCAGTAGCTAGCTTGCAGGTCCAGGTGTTGCCTGCTACCCTGTACATCCAGTGTGTGATTAAGTACCCCTCTATGCACACTATGGTCTATACCCTTTTGAGGCAAGGTGTTTCCTTGAAGCCGCCAAGATCCATACCTTTGCTGAAGCCTAAATGGTTATGCTTTTATATAAAAACAGCTGTTTGCTTGCAGATGACAAGTAAACAGCTCAGGTCAAATTCTCATGGGTAACCCAGTTAGGGCCAAAAGCTGTCACACCCAAGGTTCTCCAATTAACAAGACATTCAACAATTAAAATAAGCAGCTAAACTGCACAATATAAGCCACTGTAAGATATCAGCTGAATAACTGCCATTCCTGTGAGCAGCGTAGAGGAATGACAGAAAATAAATGAATGAGGTGATAAGCCCTTGGGCTAAAGAAGCCAGTGTAGTGATTTACTGGTTTTTATATCTGTCAACTAATGACAATTTTTTTTTGAAAAAAGATACTCAAATGAAGTTGCCAGTATCTTAATTTTTGAAATAAGAACATAAAAAACACAATCACCACCTAATTTCCCCCAGCTCAGAAATGTTATTTTAACACTAAAAAAAAAATTAAATTAAAACATGCATATTTCCAGAATAAAGAAGAGTCTCTTTCAGTGAATACACTTGCAAATTTTAAAGACAGTTGTCCTGGCTATATCAGAAGCCTTGATCGATGTATGCTTTTCTTTTCAAAACTCCACCAATAATTTCTGTCTCAAAGTTCCCAGCAGTCCAACACACTAGAATATACGTCTTCCCTGAATAAAACTTATCCTTCAAATCTGCAGTGCCTTCTTACTCACAAAATACTGTAAAACCCCTAATGCTATGGTTCTTAATCATAACTGAATATTAGAATCATCTCAAGACTATTTGAAAAATCCCAGTGCCCAGGCTCCATTTGTAGGTGGAGCTTAGACTTCATTATTTTAAAAATATCCCCTGGGCATTTAATGTACTAGAAAGGTTAAGAACTAACTCCTGCCTTGTTGCTAAGTTACCTCCATAGATGGCCAAGACCAAGTGAGAAGACATGCCCTCTGGGAATAGACCTGCTCCCAAGAGAATGGACAGAGTCACATTTACCTAGTTACTCTCTCTAAACTTTCCAGTTGGATTATGTAAATCTGTCTCTTTCATTTACATACTCTGGATGAACAATATATTTATATCAAGACCTTCCACTGGTAGGAGTTGCTCTGTCTTCCTGCATGATGAGTTCTGCAAAAAGAGGCTAGCTCATTGCTTTCTTCTACCCTTCTCTATTTATTTGTCCAGGCACTTTAAACAGTTGTTCTCTAAACCACCTATATACACAGATCTTTCTATTTCAGTGTCCCTGTTGTTATTAGGAGTTATCTAATTAGGTAGTAGAACTGTTTCAGTATAACCCAAGATACTGACAGTGAGGTGTTTAAATAAGTGATTATCATTTTTCTGAGATTGATCTACATTATTTAACTTCATCCACTTCTAATTCTGCTGAAGAAGAGGGACCACATTATTTCCTCATCAACAAACACGTTTTTTCTAGGTTAAAACTCAGTTTTTTCTTTAGATTTCTATAAACTTTAGAATCAGCTTCTTAATTCTTTGGAATACCATGTTAAAAATTTTAATGGAGTTTTGTCAGGTTTTTGGACTATGGGTCTTTCCATCATCCATGATGAACATAGTATCTTTCTCCAACTACTTAATTCTTCTATTATGTCCTATGAAATGTTTTTGTTGTTGGTGGTGGTGGTGGTGGTGGCTTTTTATTGTTGTTGTTGTTGTTCCTGAGAAGTTCTTACTACTTTTTTGTTAGGTTAATTTTTATACAGTTTGTAATTTTTGAGGCTAATGTGACTGAGTTTTCATTTCTATTTGACAATCAGACATTGCTGATAGTTATCAGTCATCCTATTGATTTATTTGTGCTAATCTTGTATCATGCTACCAATTAGAAACCTTATATTAATTCTAAATGCATTTTAGTTTACTGTTTTTATAAAGCATAGAAAGTGATATCATGTCCAATAATAAATTTTTTATAACTTTCTAATAGTATATCATCATTTTCTTATCATGTTTGGCTTAGCTTTTTAGTCCAATATTGAATATTAGTGGATGCGTTACTTCATATCTGATCCTAATAGCAATACTGCAGATGTCTTACCATTAACTGTGACAGTTGTTTAACCATTGAAATTTAGCAATTGCTTTTGGAGGACAGCTATTGAGATGATCATGTGAATATAGTGATGTAATAAATTACACGAAGTAATTAAATGTTGATTCACTCTTGCTTTCCTGGTAAAAACATTATTTGGTCATGAATTACTATTGGGTAGCATACAGTTGAACTCTCTATGCTAATAATTTTATTTAGAATGTCTGTATCTATGTTGATAATTGAGATCTATGATTTTCCTATTTGGTGTTGTCCTTACCTTGTTTGGTTGTCAAGGTTGTTCTAGCCTAATAAATATGTTTAGTGTCTTCACATATTTTCATATGTACAGAAAGAGTTTACATGTGATGGGAATTGTCTCTTCTTTAAAGGTTTCGGGTAGGGCATGGTAGCTCATGCCTGTAATTCTAGCAATTTAGGAGGTCAAGGCAGGTGGATTGCTTGAGCCCAGGAGTTTGAGACCAAAATGGACAACATGACCAAAACCCATCTCTACAACAAATACAAAAAACATAGCTGGGCACGGTGGCATATGCCTGTAGTCCCAGCTACTTAGAAGGCTGAGGTAGGAGGATCATCTGAGCCCAGGGAGTTTGAGGCTGCAGTGAGCTGTGATCACACCACTGCACTACTGTACTCCAGCCTGGGTGACAGTGCAAGATGCTATCTCAAAAAAAATTTAAAAAATTAAAAATAAAAATAAAGTTTTGGTAATACTTATTCTGTCTCTTTTATAAATAACTCTAGCAATTTTCTAAAAATTGTGTGAATATTAAGTGTTTACTAATTCAGCCAAATTTAGGAATATTTTTTAATAAAATGTATTTATTTTAGGTTTTAAAATAAATCGTTATGAAATTGTATACGTAATTATTTTTTGAAAAACATTTTTGAGTCTGTCTTTAGTTTCTATTTTAATTTTTCATCATTGACATCTTTTTTACCTTCTTTCTTCTTCTAATAATTTTATTAAAGAAACAATATTTTATAATTCAGCCTTGAGGTTTTTGCTTATATTGTTAATTACTATTTATTATTATTAATTGCGTTATTTTATTTTTAGTTTATTTTGTTGCCCTTTTTCTAGATTCATGGTTTAAAAGAGTAGTTTACTTTCAATTAAATGTGAGTCTTAATGAGGGCATTTTTAGCTCTTATTGTTCATGCTTACTTTTCTGTACTTTTCCTATAGGATTTTTATAAATGTTTTTATTTTGGTGCATAATAATTTTTCAATGATGTCTATATTAACTTACAAATGGTTTACTAATATCAGTGTGTTTTTAATTTCTAGATGAATTTATTTTAGGAAATTACTTTCATTTGTTTACTATTGTTTTGTGATTTGTGAATATGTTTTAGTTTTAGTTTTTTAGATTTTTCTATATTTACATTATGGTCTAGTAGATAATTAAATTTTTTATACCACATATTTTTAAGACAATATTAATTCTCTATTAGGTCCAAAGTCTGATGTGTTGGTGAAATTTAGCATATAC
Source organism: Homo sapiens (assembly GCF_000001405.40). Classification (NCBI taxonomy): domain Eukaryota; kingdom Metazoa; phylum Chordata; class Mammalia; order Primates; family Hominidae; genus Homo; species Homo sapiens. The sequence goes on from NC_000023.11 coordinate 79,601,022, forward strand.
ATATTTTAAAATATACTTGACTTTAAAACTTTTTGAAAATGAATTGCATTTTATTTTTTTCAAGGTGGCTGAATATTGATGTCAGATGCCAATTCCCCTCAGAGAGAATATGAAAATTACAGATCAATGGTCATGAAATAAGTTGAAATATCAGGGAAGAGTGACAAAACCTGTTGGAGAATTCAGAGAAAGCAACTGGGCACAGGAAAGGAAGGCAGCAAGAATCTGGCAGAGATTAACCCCTAAGGTACTTGGAGTCCCGTGGAAAGGATAGGTGGGGGTATTTCTTTGATCCTTTCACTCCTGTGAGAGACAGTTAACCTCTAAATTGTTTAAGAGCCCTGTGGGGGTCTGTCCTGCAGACCCCAGCTGCACGATGGATGAGACACTTACTCAGACACTGATATTCAGTGAAAGAGTGGGCCAGGGGGCTGCCGGCACTAGGAGCTGAAGAGAGTTTGTGGCCTCTCTAAGCTAGCAATGCTCACATTTACTTAGTACAGATTTAACTGACAAAAGCTTGAGTCAACACACCTATGGGCAATTAACTTGGTTACCAACCCCTCAAGCAGAGAGCAATTATGCACCTGCGGTTTATCAAAGGTTGGTCTTAGGACCACATGAGTAAACAAGCTATTTAGATAGACTCCTCTACACTCCTATGTTAATTACCCTTGCTATAGCTCAAAGATGATTAGGCTGCCTTCAACCATAACTTTATCCTGAGGCTTTTGTGAAAAACCTTCTGGCCTTCCAAGAAGATTTGTGTTTATTTTACAATTTTTCCCACCATCCTGACTGAACCCCTACAGAGCCCCTCTGACTTCATCCTCACAAACTCATGCAATGTGGTTAGTGGTAATTTGGAAGCTTCCTGGAAACAGAACATTGGGTGACTAGCTTGTGCAGGTGCACTTGCACTTCCCTCAAACCTCAATTAAGGCAACAGGCACCATACTGGTTATGCACTCATTTTTGGCCACTACCCTGTCCAGGAAATCTCAGCTCTTGTGTCATTGTATTGCCAGATTCCCCACAAACATACTCAAGAACCCATTCTAAATTTAGGAACAACAGGGGACCAGTGGGACACTAGGGAGCAGCAGGATTCCTGGAGATCTGTCATATGGTGCAGGCTGCCTGTAGAAGAAAGGAGAGCACAGTCTGCTAATGCACTCCCTGGGACACAGGAAGCATGGGTGCAGTGTTGATCTCTGAATTAAGGAGCTTTATTCCACCCCAGTGGATAGGCAGCTCCAGTGGCTGGGAATAGATGTAGAGAGGGAGTCCTCTCCTGCTCCCTCTATTCACTGCTGCAGATATGGCAAAGGCTTTTCCCACTGAGGGTGCAGATACAGCTTCTCCAGTGCTATTCATGACAGCTTCACCTCTGCTGAAAGGGAGCCTGCTGCTTCCCAGGCTTGCATGAAGAGTGGGGCTTATCTCCCTTTCCCTACATAGAGTGGCTTCATCCCTGCAACATAGGTCAGACAAGCCACAGAGCTGTCTGTTTTCAACTAGGGAAAGAGGTTCTGCCTCAAGGCCGTTTTGCCGGTGGCTACCTCACAAGCCTTTTTCATGGACCTCAATTCCACTGTAGCCTGCAAATAAAAAACAGTGTGTATTTAAATGGAAGGTTGAAACCCCCATGACAGAGGAATAATAAGAAAGTGGATCCTTTTTCTGCCTGCCCAGGAAAGGAAACTGGTGCAATCCCCTCCCTGATTCTTTTTACATAGCACACCACATCACAGACTGCTCCCACCTTCCTGGTCAAGGCATGCACTTCCACTCATGATCAGGGTAACCAAGGGTTGGCTGGCTTTTTACTCTAAAGCTTCACCTACTTCATTGGAGACTGAATTGCACCATCAAATAAAAAATATGCTGACAAAAAGGCATACAGCAAAGGTATGATAAACTTTCAGAGACCTTCAAACTCTCAGCACTGCAAAAGATACCAAGTTGTCTCATATGCTAAATACATTAAACAGCATTTAAGAAAGGCACAGGCCGGACGTGGTGGCTCATGCCTGTAATCCCAGCACTTTGGGAGGCCGAGGCGGGCGGATCACGAGGTCAGGAGATGGAGACCATCCTGGCTAACACGGTGAAACCCCATCTCTACTAAAAATATAAAAAATTAGCCGGATGTGGTGGCAGACGCCTGTAGTCCCAGCTACTCGGGAGGCTGAGGCAGGAGAATGGCGTGAACCCAGGAGGCAGAGTTTGCAGTGAGCCGAGATGGTGCCACTGCACTCCAGCCTGGGTGACAGAGTGAGACTCTGTCTCAAAAAAAAAAAAAAAAAAAAAAAAGAAAAGAAAAGAAAGGCACAAAAAAAATCTATAACCAAGAAAACCATATACACTGATGTGGTTCTCTGAAAGGACACAAAAATGAAGCCAAATAACCATACACAGCATACATTACAGTCAGACACTCAAGGGAGAAAATAATTAAAAATAAAAATTTCTCATTTAAATGATATAAAATTTAAAACTAATAACTGACAGCTTCTTCAGATAAGAAGAAATCAGTGCAAGAACTCCAGCAGCAGAAAAACACAGAGTGTTTTCACACCCCAAAGGATCACAATAGCTCTCTATGAATTATTCTTAACCAAAATGAAAATTCTTAAATTACAAGTAGCAAATTCAAAACACAGATTGTAAGAAAGCTCAATAAGATCAAAAAGAAAGTTGAAAACCAACACAAAGAAATCATACAAAAAATTCAGGAAATAAAATGAAATTAATGTATTACAACTAAAAAACAAAGACTTCTAGAAATAAAAAAAATTACTGAAATAATTTGAAAATACTCTTTAACACTTTAGCAATAGAATAGACCAAGAAGATGAAAGAATTTCAGTGTATGAAGACCAGTCTTTTAAATTAACCAAGTCAGATAAAAATTTTTAAAAAATAAAGAAATGAATGAAGACTTTGAAAAATTTGAGATTATGTAAAGCATCTAAACCTATCATTTATAGACATTACTGAGAGAGAAGCAAATGTAAAAAATTTAGAAAACATATTTGATGAAATAATTCAGGAAAATTTTTCTGATTTTGCTAGAGATGTAGATATCCAGATACAAGAAATTCAAAGACTATCTGGAAGGTACCATACAACAAGAATATCAGCAAGGCATATAGTCATGAGACTATCTGATGTCAACATGAAAAAAAAAATAAAACCTTAAAAGCAGCTAGAGAGATGCATTAAACCACCTATAAGGGAAATCTCATCAGACTAAAAGTAGACTTCTTAGCAGACACCCTACAAGACAGAAGGAATTGAGGTCCTAATTTTAACCCTCTTAAAAAAATCCAGCCAAGTATTTTATATCCCATCAAGCTAAGCTTCATAAATGAAGGAGCAATAAAGCCTTTCCCAGGCGAGCAAATGCAAAGGGAATTTGTTGCCACTAGACAAGACCTACAATAAATGCTCAAAGGACTTCTACATATGGAAATAAAAGAACGATATTCATCATCATAAAAGCACACATAAATACAAAGGTACCAGGAAGCACCTGCACCACTGGGCAGGTGGACCAACCCACTCTTGCCACTGGTAGCTGGGCAGGCAATTCTTTCTAGAGCTTCTGACCTAGTGGTTCCACTTCTGTCTGAACTCAGCCAGGAGAGCAACCTCCTATTTTCCTGGGAAGTACCTGGGCGGCAGGATGGGTGACCGGCCCACCCCTGCTGCTTGTAGCTAGGCAGGCAATGCCTGTTAGACTTCCACCTCAGGGATCCCTCTTCTGCCTGAACTCAGCTGGAGAATATAGCCTTCTGTTGTCCCAGGAAGCACCCCGATGGCAGGGCCAGTGAACCCATAAACCCTGACCACTGGTAGCCAGGTGGGCAATGCTTGCTAGTGCTTCCAGCCCAACGCTCCTTCTTCTGTTTGAACTTAGCCAGAGGGCAAAGCCTTCTGTTTCCCTAAGAAGTACTCAGATGCCATGGTGGGGGACTACCCACCTCTGTGTCTTGGAGATAAGCAAGCCACACCTTCTGGAGCTTCCAGCACAGCAGACATACATCTGCCTAAATTTGCTGAGAGGTGCAGCTTCCTGTTTCCCCCCAGACATCTTGATGGAAGATCAGGCAACTTCATCCACCTCAGCCCCTTATAGTCAAATGGGCCACATGCACTAAAAATTTCTGCACAGCATTCCTGCTTCTACCAGAACTTGCAGGCAAATGCAAACTCATGTTCTTCCAGAAAGCACTCAGACAGCAAATTAAGAAAAACCAGGTAAGGATACAGCCTGTCTGCTAACTACAGCCCCTGGCCTGAGGGAGCCCTGAGGACCAGAATGCCCAACAACAACAACAAAAAAAATGCAGCTGTGGAGACAGTAATTTGACGAGGCTCCTTTAAGACCTAGAAGTGGATTAGTATTGAAGCTATTCAACTGAACCCACCTTATGCATGCAAACCCATAAGGGCAACAAATAAGATAAAAGCATTAAAATCCCGTTTGAAAAACATTAATTTCAAAGACTGGAGAAACATCAGCCTACACAGAAAGAAGATAAATAACTAGCACAAGAACTCTGGTAACCCAAAAAGCCAGAGTGTTTTCTTACCTCTACACGACTGAATTAGCTTCCAAGCAATGGCTTTTAAAAAGGCTGAAATGTCTAAAGTGTAAGAAATATAAATGAGAAAATGGGTAAAAATAATCATCATCTACATTCAGGAGAAAGATGAAACCCAATCCAAGGAATCTAAGAAATACAATAAAATAATACAGAATATAAAAGATGAAATGGTCACTTTAAGTGACAACCAAACTAAACTGATAGAGTTGAAACACTCAGTTAAAAATTTTTCAGAATACAATAGCAAATATTAGCAGCATGATTAACCAAGCTGACGAAAGAGTTTCAGAGTCTGAAGGACAGTTTTCCAAAATGTAAGTCAGACAAAAATAAAGGAAAAACAATAAAGAAGAATGAATAAAACCTCAGAGAAATACAGGATTCTGGAGAGACCAAATCTATGACATGTTTGCATCCCCTAAAGAGAAGAAGAGAAAGCAAGCAACTCGGAAGACACATTTTCGGATATTGTCCAAGAAATTTTATCCAATCTTGCTAAAGATGTCAATATTCAAATTCAAGAAATACAGAGAACCCCTGTGAAATATTACACAAGAAGACACAAAGTCATCAGATTCTCCAAAATCAAAATTCAAAAAATAGGAAAGGAAGCTAGAGAGAAAATGGCAAAGGAAACCCCATCAGGCTAACAGTGGACCTTTCAGCAAAAACTTTACAAGCCTGAAGGGTTTGGGGACTGATATGGTTTGGCTATGCCCCTCACCCAAATCTCACCTTGAGTTGTGATAATCCCCACATATCATGGGAAGGACCCGGTGGCAGGTAATTGAATCATGAGGGCAGGTATTTCCCATGCTGTTCCCATGATAGTGAATAAGTCTCACAACACGTGATGGTTTTATAAATGGGGGTTTTTCTGCAAAAGTTGTCTTGCCTGCTGCCATGTAAGATATGTCTTTGCTTCTTGTTTGCCTCCTGCCATGATTGTGAGGCCTGCCCAGCCGTGGGGAACTGTGAGTCCATTAAAACTCTTTCGTTTATAAATCACCCAGTCTTGGGTAGGTCTTTATTAACAGCATGAGAACAGACTAATACAGAGGCCTATATTTAACATTTTTAAAGAAAAGAATTTCATAATCAGGCAAAGTAAGCTTCATAAGCATAGGAGAAAAATGATTCTTTTCAGAGAATAAATGCTAAGGGAATCTGTTACCACCAAACCTGCCTTAAAAGAAGTCATGAAAGAAGAGCTAAATACAGACAGTATAGACCATTGCCAGCCACCACAAAAACATACTTACATACATAAATTATTTACACGATAATACAAACACACAATCAAGTGTGCATAATAACCAGCTAACAACACAATGACAGGATCAAACCTGCACATATCAATAGTAACCTTGAATGTAGGAAGGCTGAATTTCCCAATTAAAAGGCACAGAGTGGCAAGCTGGAAAAAGAAGTAAGATCCAACTGTATGATGTCAACAAAAGACTCATTTTACATGCAATGGCACCCAAAGTAATGGCTCAAAATGAAGGGATGGAGAAAAAATTACCAATCAAATGGAAAACAAAAGAAAGCAGGAGTTGCTAATTTCTGGGAAAAAAAAGATTTTAAATCAAGAATGATTAAAAAAGTAAAATGAAAAATATGACATAGAGGTAAAGGGTTCAATTCAACAAGAAGACCTAAGAATCCTAAATATATATGCACCTATCACAGGAGCACCTAGATTCATAGAGTAAGTTCTTAGAGAGCTACAAAGAGATTTGGATAACCACACAATAATAGTAGGTGTCACTAACACTCCACTGATGATACTAGACAAGTCATCGAGGCAGAAAACTAACAAAAATATTTGGGTCCTGAACTAGACATTGGACCAAATGTGCCAAACAGACATCTTGAGAACTCTCCACCATAAAAACAAACAAACAAACAAAGAAAATAAAGTGTACATTATTCTCATATGCACATGGCACATACTATAAAATCGACCACGCAATCAGATATAAGAAAATCCTCAGCAAATTCAAAATACTAAAATTATATTAAATACACTCTCAGACCATAGCACAATAAAAATATAAATCAATACTAAGAAAATTGCTCAAAACCAATTACATGGAAATTAAAAAACTTGCTCCTGAATTACTTTTGAGTAAATAATGAAATTAAGGCAGAAATCAAGTAATTCCTTGAAACTAATGCTAATAAATACACAACATAGTAGAATCTCTGGGATGAAGCTAAGAAGTGTTAAGAGGGAAGTTTATAGCACTAACCATCAAAATCAGTAAGTTACAAAAATCTCAAATTAACAAATTAACATCACACCTAGAAGAACTAAAGAAACAAGAGTGAACTCACCTAAAGGCTAGCCGAAGTCAAAAATAACCAAATCAGAGCTGAGTTGAAGGAAACTGAGGTGTGAGCAACTATACAAAAGATCAACGAATCCAGGAATTGTTTCTCTGAAAGACAAAAATAATAGGTTGCTGGGCAGAGTAATAAAGAATAACGAACAAAAAAGATCCAAATAAACACAATCAGGAAATGACCAAGGGGACATTACCAATGGCTCACACACAAAAACAAAACAAAACTCTAAGGGTGAAGGGAGGGAAAAAAAACTCTAATAAACTACTATGAACACCTCTATGCACACAAGTTAGAAAATCTAGAGGAAATAGATAAATTCCTGGAAACGTACAACCCTCCAAGATTGAAGCAAGAAGAAATTAAATCCCTGAACACACTCATCATGAGTACTGAAATTAAATCAGTAATAAAAAACCTACCACCCAGGAAAAGTCCAGGACCAGACAAATTCAAAGTCAAATTCTACCACATGTATAAAGAGGAGCTGATACTATTCTTGCTAAAATTACTGCAAAAAAATTGAGGAAGAAGCAGTCATCTGTAACTCATTCTATGAAGCCATCATCATCCTGATACCAAAATCTGGCAGAGACATACATACACATACACAAACTTCAGGTCAATATCCTTGGTGAACATAGAAGCAAACATTCTCAGCAGAATACTAGCAAACCAAACCCAGCAGCATATCAAAATGCTAATTCACCACAATCAAGTAGGTTTTATCCCTGGGATGCAAGGTTGCTTCAACGTACATATCAAAAATGTAATTCACCACATTAAGAAAACTAGAAACAAAAATGACATGATTATATCAATAGATGCAGAAAAGGCTTTCAATAAAATTTAACATTGCTTTGCGTTAAAAGTCCTCAACAAAAGAAGTATTGGAGGAATCTATGTCAAAATAGTAAGAGCCATCTAAGAGAAACCCACAGTCAATATTATACTGAATGGACAAATGCTGCAAGCACTGCCCTTGAGAACTGGAACAAGAAAAAAAAAAGGCCCATTCTCACTACTCCTGTTTTTCTTAGAAATGGAATGTATACCCAGAGAAATCAAGTAAAAGAAAGAAATAAAATGTATCTAACTAGGAAGAGAGGAAGTCAAACTATCTCTGTTTGCAGACAACATAATTCTATACTTAGAAAACTCCAGAGTGTCTTCCCAAAGGTTCCTTCATCTGATAAACAACTTCAGAAAAATTTCAGGATATGAAATCAATGTACAAAACTGAGTAACCTTTCCGCCGGGCGCGGTGGCTCATGCCTGTAATCCCAGCACTTTGGGAGGCCAAGACGGGCAGATCACGAGGTCAGGAGATCGAGACCACCCTGGCTAACATAATGAAACCCCGTCTCTACTAAAAACATAAAAAATTAGCCGGGCATGGTGGCAGGTGCTTGTAGTCCCAGCTACTCAGGAGGCTAAGGCAGGAGAATGTGGTGAACCCAGGAGGGGAGGCGGAGCTTGCAGTGAGCCGAGATTGCGCCACTGCACTCCGGCCTGGGCAACAGAGCGAGACTCCGTTTCAAAAAAAAAAAAAAAATCAGTAACCTTTCTATACATCAACAAAGTCTAAGCTCAGAGGCAAATCAAGAAAACAATCCCATTCACAATAGCCACAAAAAGAATAAAATACCCAGCAATAAATCTGACTAGGGAGGTGAAAGATCTCTATGATAAGAATTACAAAACACTGCTCAAAGAAATCGGAGTTGATAAAAACAAATGAAAATTTATTCCATTTTCATTGGCAAGAGTAAACAATATTGTTAAAATGACCATACTACCCAAAGCAATTTACAGATTCATTTATATGAAACTACCAATGATATTTTTCACAGAATTAGTAAAAAAAAATAATTAAATTTAATACAGAAACAAAAAGAGTTTAAATAGCCAAGGCAATTTTAAGCAAAATGAATGAAGCTGGAGGCATCATGTTACTCAACTTCAAACCATATTATGAGGCTACAGTAACCAAAACAGCATGGCAGTGGCACAAAAACAGACATGTAGACCAATGAAACAGAATACAGAGCACATAAATAATGCTGTAAACTTGCAACTACATGATCTTTGACAAAGTTGAGCAAAAAAGCAATGGGGAAGTGAATCCTTATCCAATAAATGATGCTGGGATAATTGGCTAGTGATATGCAGAAGATTGAAAGTGGACATCATATATAGGCTATAGTAACCAAAATAGAATAATACTGGTACAAAAATAGACATCTAAATAAATGAAACAGAATAGAGAACCCAGAAATAAAAGTCAAATACCTATAATCAACTGATCTTTGAAAAATTTGACAAAAGTAATGTGAAAAGGACATCCTATTTAATAAATGGTTCTGAAAAAACTGGCTAGCCATATGCAGAAAAATCAAAATGGGCCCCAATCTTTCACCATATACAAAAATTAACTCAAGGTCAATTAAAAACTTAAATGTGAGACCACAGACTTATAAAAATTCCAGATGAAAATCTAGGAAAAACTTTTCTGAGTGTTCGCCTAGGCAAAGAGGCTATGATTAAGACCTCAAAAGCAAATGCAAGAAAAGTGAAAATAGATAAATGGGACTTGTAAACAGCTTCTGTACAGAAAGAAAATTTCAACATTATAAACTGACAACATACAGAATAGGAGAAAATATTTGCAAATTATGCCTTTGATAAAGAACGAATATCCAGAATCTACAAATAACTCAAACAATGTAATAAGAAAAAAAAACATTAAAAAGTGAGCAAAGGACAGGAACAGACACTTCCCAAAATAAGACATAAAAGTGGCCAATAAACATGAAAAAATGCTCCACATCACAAGCCATCAGATAAATGCAAGTCAATACCACGATGAGATATCATCTTACACTGATCAGAATAGTTATTATTAAAAAGTCAAAAAAACCACAGATGTTAATGTGGATTCAGAGAAAAGAGAATGCCCATACACTGTTGATGAGAATGTAAATTAATACAACCTCACTGGAAAACAATATGGAGATTTCTCAAAGAACTAGAACTACCACTCAATCCAATAATCAATCCCACTACTGAGCGTCTACTCAAAGAAAAATAAATATTTATATAAAAAGAACAGTTGCACTTGCATTTTTATTGCAGCATCATTCACAATAGCAAACTCATAGAATTAACCTAAGTGTCCATGAACAGGTAATTAAATAAAGAAAAATGTGAATATATATACATATACACATACATACACTCATTGTATATATATACAGGCACACACACACATATACACACATACACCCTGTGGAATACATGTGTTTATATAGATATACACATGTATGTATACATATATAATTTACACATATACAAAATATATTTATTAAAAAGTTAAGAAACATATGTGTATAATACATATTACATATATGAAATATGTGCATATGTGTATATTATACATATATAGGTATATATTATATATTTATACATATATGTGTTTATATACACCATAGAAATCTATGCAGTCATAAAAAAGAATAAAATTATGTCTTTTGCAGTAACATCAATGGAGCTGGAGAACATTATCCTTAGTGAAATAACCCAGAAAAATAAAATCAAATATCACATGTTCTCACTTATTAGTGGAAGTTAAACAACGGGTACACATGAACATTAAAATGAAGATAATAGACACTGGGATGACACAAGCAAGAATGGTGGAGGAGTGAGTATTAAAAAAGTACTTACTGGGTATTACATTAGTCCATTCTCACATTGCTTTAAAGAAATACTTGAGACTGGGTAATTTATTTAAAAAATGAGGTTTATCGGCTCAGTTTTACAGGCTGTACAGGAAGCATGGCAGCATCTGGCCTGCTTCTGGGGAGACCTCAGGAAACTTACTATCATGGCAGAAAGCGAAGCAAGACCAACACCTCACATGAACAGAGCAGGAGGAAGAGAGAGAAGGGAGAAGACCCATACACTTTTAAACACCCAAATCAACACCCAGATCTCATGAGAACACTATCATAGGACAGCACCAAAGGAATGGTGCTAAACCATTTATGAAGGACCACCCCTATGATCCAATCACCTTCCACCAGGCCACGTCTTCAACACTGTTATTGACAATTCAACATGAGATTTGGTGGGGACACAGAACCAAACCACATCAAGTACATTGCTCACTATTTGGGTGATGGGTACACTACAAGCCCAAGCCTCACCATTGCACAGTATTTCCATGTAAAAAACAAACATGCACATTTGCCTCCTGAATCTAAAATAATTTTTAAAAACCCACTGAGGTTGTGATTAAAAATTTTTAAAAAGAAATTTCATTAAAGTTCCCCATAATAATTGTGATTTTTCTATTTCTTCTTCATTACTCTAATGATAACAATTTCATATATAATAGTTATATATATATATATTTGTTCTTTACATTTTTTAGATTTTAAGTTATATTGTTAGATACATGAGATGCATACATATTATGTATTTTCAGTGATAATTTTTACTAAAATAAAAGTGTTTTCATTTTAGAATTTCTCTTTCTAAATTCTATATAGTCATATATGATATGCTTTGGATCTGTGCCCGCACCAAATCTCATGTCGTGTTGTAATCCCCAGTGTTGGAGGTAGGTCCTGGTGGGAGGTGATTGGATCATGGGAGGAGTTTCTCATGAATGGTTTAGCACTGTTTCCCTTGGTCGCGATAGTGAGTGAGTTCTTGTTAGATCTGGTCATGTAAAAATGTGTGGCACCCCTCCTCTCTCTCTTTTCCTCCTTCTCTGGCTTTGTGAAGTGCTTTATTTTCCCTTCAATTTCCAAGATGATTGGAAGTTCCTTGAGGCCTCCTCAAAAGCTGATGCCACCATACTTCCTGTACAGCCTGCAGAACCGTGAGTGCATTAAACCTCTTTTCTTTATAAATTACCCAGTCTCAGGTATTTCTTTATAGCAATGTGAGAATTGACTAACACAATATACTAATATATTGTGTTATCTATCTGTTTTAGACTTTTCTAAGAATAACTTTCTGCCCCCTTTCATTTGCAAGTTTCCTGGACTTTTTAAATCTAAATCTGCCTCTTATAAATGTACATTAGGTTTCTTTTTCAACCAAATTCGAATCTCTCTTAGTTAACAGATAAATTTAGTCAGTTCAACTTATTATAATTTTTGATACATTTGGATGTATTTAACTCTCTATATTTCTGGTTTTCTGTTTATCATGTTATATCTATGTTTATTTCAAGCATTTGTTTAATAGAATGTTTTCTGACTACTCTCATTTTTTTGAAAGTGGTACATTCTTTTTTTTTTTTTTTTTTTGGTGGTGCAGTGGCACGATCATGGCTCACTGCAACCTCTGCCTCTTGGGTTCAAGCAATTCTTCTGCCTCAGCCTCCAAAGTAGCTGGGATTACAGTCCCGTGCCACCAAGCCTGGCTAATTTTTTTGTATTTTTAGTAGAGATAGGATCTCACCATTTTGGCAGGCTGGTCTCTAACTGCTAGCCTCAAGTGATCTACCCACCTCGCCTCTCAAAGTTCTGAGATTACTGAAAGTTCTACATTCTATTTCTAATCTTTCACAGGTTACTTTTAAATTTTTAGCCCCAGTTTGTAAGCTTTTTTGAAATTATGTAGAGTTTATCATTATCTACATACATATTCCCTAAAATAGAACAAAAACTTTAGAAAGCTTTACATAGCAAAACTTCCAACATACCAGAGAATATTAGAAACTTGAGCAAACCAGCAAAAATTAAAGGAAGAGAATTTAAAAATGGTCAATAGTTAATATGAAATAATATGTAAGGAATAAAATAACATATCATTTGTTAGATTAATGGTGATATGTACAATTTTGTATCAAAATGTAAAACCCTTCATTTGTATTAAAAATATTTTTCTCTTTTTTCAGAACTTAACAGATTAAGGATCCAAGAAGTAAATAAGAAGTAAACATCTACAACCAATAAGGTCTATCCGAAATGCAGAAAACTTCATATTCCATAAACAAATATTTATAGTTTTTATGTCCTTAATTTACAGAAAGTATTTATATATTTAGCCACAAAGTACACCTGAAACAAAGCAAAACAGACAGATGTAACATATTCTCTTATCATGATCCAGTGTAATTTGAATTAAATAGCTTTTAGAAATTAACAAACACTCATAAAGTCTTCTGGATCAAAGAAGAAACTGATCCTCGTGGAAAACAACTATTACAAAGAAAATTTATAGCTTTGAATAGTTTTATTTTTTTTAACCCTCAAAATAAATGGACTCAGTATCCACCTCTTTAGAAATTTGTAAAGCAAAAACAGAAAAAATAGAAAGAAAGTAGAAACAGGGATTTAAACATAAAGTTAAATTTAATATCAGAAGAGAGAAGAGTGAAAAAAAATATGTGAAACTGAAAACTAATTATTTAAGATGAGTAATACAATAAGTAAATCTTAAAGGTCTGATTTTTAAAAAGAAACAAAAAATATGATATTTGATATGGAAAGGAAATAAAAACCACAACAGTCTATTATGAACATCTCTATAGTAATTGATTTGAAATTTTAGAATAAATTGATGGCAACATAATAAAGCATAAATTATAAAAGCAGATACAAGAAGAAATAGAAAACAAAGAGTACCCCATAATATATCCATCTAATGTGTACCTATAAAAATTTTTTAAAAAAGAAAACAAACAGATCAATACCCCCTAGAAAGGTGATTATAAATACATCATTTAGATTTCTGGTTAAATGTGGTAAACTATGCGTACACATTTATCTGTGATATATCATGACATTCCATTCACATGCTTATTAAGGCATTTTTAAGCCATATATCAAATAATATTGAGAGAAGAAGACAGAAGATCAGAATTGTCAAATAATTTTAAGTTCAAAGTTGATAAATAAGTGATAACTTAATTGTCAGATACAAAAAAGCTGAAGATTAAATGTCCCTGATGACGGATGAGAGAAAAAAAAAATTAACTCAATCTACATGGTGTAATTCCTGAAAGGCTAATTAATTAGAGGCAAACTGTATTTATACGAATATGAATGGGAATGGATCTGAAAACCAAAAAGATCATCAAATTCTATAAATGAGAGGGAAAAACTTAAAAAGACAGATCGAGTAAAAAATCTGCTGAAGAACGGAGAGAACTCACAACCTCTTTCAATTCTAGGGTCCTTGATCAGGGAGAACTCAGAATTTCTTTCTATTTTGGTTTCTTAGATCACTGGAATTTAGGTTTACATCTGTAGGCAACATTGTACAGTTCTTCATGGTTTCCACTGACCAGCCTAAAATACACAAATACAATGATAAATAAGAGCTGCCTAACAAAATGACTATTCTGCCAGAAGAATCTAGAATATTAGACTCAACCATCCCTCAGTGTTCACCTTTTAGTGTCTGATATGGTTTGTCTGTGTGCCCACCCAAATCTCATCTGGAATTATAGATCCCATAATTCCCAAGTGTTGTGGGAGGGACCTGGTGGGAGGTAATTTAATCATTGGGGCAGTTGCTTTTATGCTGTTCTCATGTTAGTGAGTGAAATCTCACGAGATCTGATGGTTTTATAAGGGGTTTTTTCCCGTTTTTCTTGTCACTTCCCGTCCTGCCACCCCGTGAAGAAGGACGTGTTTGCTTCCCCATCTAACATGATTGTAAGTTTCCAGAGCCCCCAGCCAGACATGCTGAACTGTGAGTCAATTAAACCTCTTTCTTTATAAATTACCCAATCTTGGGGATGTCTTTATTAGCAGCATAAGAACGGACTAACACAGTGGCTCTCTTAATTTTGAATAAATAACCAAACGTTATTAGAATTTTGGAAATAACCTTTTGTGTAAAAGGAAAAATGAAACAAAATAAAATCATCGTAAATACTGAAGGTAAAGAATTCTAAAAGCTATGGAGAAAAGGTCGTGGATAAGGTCATAAATAAGGAAACAGTGAAATCAGACTTCTCAGTAGAAATCCTGCTATTAGAAGGTAATGAAGTATTGCCTTAAAATTACTGAGGGAAAATTATCTTAAATCTATAATTTTATTTATTTAGTATGTTATCAGCATTTAGCAAATTTATTGTGGCAAAAACACTAACTTGAGATCTACCCTTGTAACAAACTTATTAAATTATACAAATATTGTCTACTATAGGTACAATGTTATGCAGCAGATCTCTAGAATTTATTCATGCTTTATAATTTAAACTTTATACCCCTTGAAAAGCAAGTCCCTATTTCCCCTTTCACCAGCTCTTGGTACTACCATCCTATACTCTGTTTCTCTGAGTTTGACTATTTTAGATACCTCATATAAGTGGAATTATGCAGTATTTTTAATTATGTGACTGGATTGTTACACTTAGCTTAATGTCCTAAAGATTTATTCATGTGTTCTCATATGAAAAGATTTTCTACTTTTTAAAGACTGAGAGATATTCCATTGTGTATATATACCACATATTTGTTATTCAATCATCCTAGGATAATTTTTCCTGGATGACCCAGGAAAATTAATTCTCTAAACTTATTTTTTTCATTTGTATTTGGGGACCAACATTCATACCTTACTGGGCTACCATGAGGATTACATTAGTTTATGCAGTAAAGTGCTTGTCTTGAGTGCCGGCTTGATAATTATTTTTTTTCCACTTTACCACCTCAGGATCCTAGAAATTTAGATTTAATAGTATCTGAGTTTCTACAAATTCTGCAATGAAATGTTCCCATGTCATGTAACATAGATAGAATAAATATTGGTTTACTTTATTATGCTTTTATGCTTGACACACTATTACGTGTTGACACTATTATGCTTGACACATTATCCCATCACAACGGAGGTTATGTAGA
Organism: Homo sapiens; assembly: GCF_000001405.40. Taxonomy (NCBI): domain Eukaryota; kingdom Metazoa; phylum Chordata; class Mammalia; order Primates; family Hominidae; genus Homo; species Homo sapiens. Next base: position 79,616,860 of record NC_000023.11, read on the forward strand.
AGTATTAGTCAGGGTCTCTGTCTTCAAGAACTTTGCAATAGAGTTTGAAATACAAGAATAATGTACATAAATCTACTTTGAACATTCTGTTACCTGTCATCCCAATATCCATAATTGAATGAAATTAGCCACCAATGATAAACTTTAGGTAGAATTTATGCCTGCTTTCCTTCTACCTGTAAAAAATACACGTAATGTAAATATACTATAGAGTTTGCTATAAGTAGCTTATGAATTTTAGCAGATATTATCTCTCAACAAATTTTGAGGACAAGAGTAGGAATAATTTCACATGTCTTACTGTTTTTATTCTTACTAGTTTTAATAAGAATCTTTTACATATTTGTGATTCTAAGACACATATATATGTATATCATGCATTTTGTAATCATTGCTAACATGTTTTCGTACACTTTTAGAATTTCAATACAGGAATAAATGTTAGAAATCTAACATTCATTCTTAAATGGCTGCAGGGAAGTGGGGAATGGATAGAGAATATATATATTTCCCTAGATGTCCTGTCCAAATTATACATGGCATCCTCTGAAATAGATTCTGGCATCATCCTCCTCCCCACCACCCCCATGCATCCTGGTGAGAGTAATTCAGAGAGTGTGTTGAAGAGAAAACTGAGGCTAAAAATGTAAAAATGTATTACCCAGAGGTCCACACATACAATATGGCAGGGTTATCATTCCCAAGTAAGTGCTCTTTCCCATAGCCTACCTGGCCACTTCCTTTAGTTTTTTTATCTGTATTGTAAACATGGTTCATGAAGTCTTTATTTCCTAATACAAATAGGTGATCTTCTGGAAACTTGTAACTCTTCAACGTTATCTTTTTTCATTGATTTACCATATTCTACATTTATTAAAATTATTTATAAGTTGTATAGTTTATTTTAATGCAGCCTATTAATATTTAAACACTGTCTCCCTTGCCTGCATTATATCTTGAACATTGTAATTTATCAGTACATATCCAGCTTAAATATAGTCGTATAAATAACATCTCTAGAGTACAAAGTTGTATTTATTAATGTTTTATAATTTAATTGTTAAGGGAGGTATATTAGTCATTGTTCAATTAGGAAAGAAAACTACTCTAGATTTTTTAAACAGAGAGGGCTTTGTGCCAGAAATTGATTACAAAATAGTTGAAATGGATAGAGGAGGAAAACGATGTGCTTGAGAAACCAGTAAGAGGAGATATTACCTAGAGATTAAGAAGCAACTACAACCCATAGGCTCATACCCATCAGCCCACATTGCTGTTGATCTTCTGGTGGTGCTACAAGTGCCATTGCTTCTACTGAAACTGCACTATTGCTGAGATTGCCCTGCTGCAGATGCTGCTGAAATTACCACCAGTACTGCTAGAAACCCAGCGTTCTAATATATATGCAGTCCTTCAGTCATTAATTGCTAATGCTACCACAAAATATTAACAGAAGAACGGGAAAATTATGAAACTGTTTTTCTCTAGCCTTCAAATTCACTGCCAGTGCTACCCATTTATGGACTCTAACTGAAAAACGGCTTTCAAGCGTGTATAGGATTTCGTTTTCTGGTTTCTAGACTCCTGTGACTCAAGGAAGAATAAAGACTGAGAATGGAGTTGAAAGTCAACAGGTGAATGGGGTTATTCATACTGTCTCAGATACTACTGCCAAACAAGCTCCTTTTGTCTTAAAGTAACCAAGTACACTTGTGGATATAAAACTTCAGAGAGCAACTAGTAGAGGTAATTTGGAGAAAGAGCCAGATTTATATGGAATGTGGTTACTCACATGAAATATGATTTAATCAACAATCAGCCAAACAGTGCTATAAACTTCTTCATTACTTGGCCTGTTTAAGGCACAGTTAGGATATTTAAAGCATAATTTATACTCAAAGGAGTATAAATTGTACTCTTTTATAATTTAGTATAATTTGTATACCCTTTTATATACAAAAGGCAGAAACACAACTATTTAGTGTTTACTATTATGCAAAGTAGTTTACATGTGTTACCCTCTTCATCCTTGAACCAACCTTGTAAAGTTTTAATTTACAGAAACCGAAAGCAGAAAAATGTTGAGAAAATTGTCCATCTTCACAGTAAGAGGTAATAGACCCAGGCTTTAAAATAAATTTGCTCTGATTTGGTCTGATTCCAAACTCGACCATCTTTCCTATAAGTTAGTTCTATTAAAAGCCTCACTTTATTTGCAATATCTATAGTAAAGCTAGCCTCAAATGTATTTATGTGTGTGTGTGTGTGTATATATATGTGTGTATATATATATATGTGTGTGTGTGTATATATATATATGCAATTTATTTTAAATGTTGACATTGGTAATACAAATTTAAAGCAAACCATGAGAATAATCCTTCTCAAATAGGCAGAGAGTGAGAGGGAGACTGGAGGATCAGAAGCTCCAGAAGGTTTAATAATGATTATAATGAAGGTGATACTGTAGATATTGATAACAATAACTACAGTTAAAATTTGAGAGCTAATACTGTGCCAGACATTACGCTAACCATGTTATATGGTCTATATTATTTTACCCTCACAACAATCCTATGATGTACATCAAATTATTATATTCACGTATGTACATAATACTATTATATTACATGTTACATGTAAGGAGATTGAAGATTAAACCAGTTAAGTAGCTTTAGACTCAAACTTTGAACTCAGGAAGTCTTGCTGTAGCACTTAAAATATTAACTACTAAACTATGTCGTTCCTTAGAAAATTATGTTTTGTTGATATCCATGGAAAGTAATGGACATATGTGAATATATTTTGTCATGAACAATTTACATGGAAAGGAGGGAAAAGAGTGATAGTGTGTGGAGAAGGGAAATTTCTCTTGTGGGTTTTAGGGAAGGGATGAAATTCAAAGGAAAACAATACAAACAAGTTTTACTATGTGGTCAGAATCCAGAGAAGCACAGTAGTAGGTTTGGTGTAACTATTTGTATTTGATTTTAATCAAGATTATTCCAGAATGACAAACTGAGCCTAGGCAAGTTGGATTAAGCCTGACTGATATGGTGATGGCCCACCAGACATCTAATAACAGCACCTGTGGTATTGAAGATGTCTAAATCGGGACATGTCTTTTATGGGGAGCATTTTCTTACATAATAAAGGTGAAAAGTATGCACTGCTGAAATATCAGACATAAAATAATATGTATTATTTAAAGGTTGATTGAGTAAACTGGCAGAGAAAAAAATAGTGAGTGTTAGGGTAATTACAGCTATCATAGGTGGGAATGGCTGTGGACCCATGGGCATGGTTTTGCAGATAAAACCACTGATTTTCTTGGTGGTGGTACGAAAAGTTGTAGGAGTGGTGAAAATCAGCTGAGGAGCCCTTGCTGTGGAGATGCTGTGGATTCTGTTAAGTTGAAGATCTTTAGACGTAAATCTTGCTTGTGTTTCTTTAACAATATCCGAAATAAAATCTTTGGAAGTGAGACAAAGTCACTCATGCTACATTATTCACTATTAAGTATGCAACAGGGGTCTTTTAGTGCAGGGGTCCCGAATCCCCAGGCAACAGATCTGTAGCGGTATCTGGCCTGTTAGGGACTGGGCTGCAGAGCAGGAGGTAGGCGGCAGGCAAAGAAGCAAAGCTTCATTTGTATTTACAGCTACTCCCCATTACTGGACTTACTACTTGTACTCTGCCTGCTGTCAGATCAGTGGCAGCATTATATTCTCATAGGAGCATGAACCCTATTTTGAACTGCTCATGTGAGGGAGCTAGGTTGCACACTCCTTTGCCTGATGATCTGTCAGTGTCTCCCATCACCCCCAGGTGGGACCATGTAGTTGCAAGAAAACAAGCTCAGGGCTCTCACTTATTCTGTGTTATGGTGAGTTGTATAATTATTTCATTATTATTACAATGTAATAATAAAGAAATAAAGAGCACAATAAATGTAATTCACTTGAATCATCCTGAATCCCTCCCCACCCCTCACCCCCAGACCACCTGCCTGTGGAAAAATTGTCTTCCACAAAACCAGTCCCTGGGGCCAAAATGGTTGGGGACTACTGTTCTAGGGGCTGAGAGATCTGTGTTGAATGAGTTATAAACTTCATTTAGATAGCAGATTTTGAGGATATATCCAAGACCTTCTGTTCTGCTTTCTGAGTGTTAAGCTAGGCTTAGTCTTATGTGTCCTAGGGCAACTTAGGTATCTCTGAATAAGGAACACTGCCTCATTCTCTTATGGCATTGATTTCTCTGGAGCTGGATAAGGGGAGATCCTAGAAACAGAAAATTTGGGGCCATTTGGGCAAATTATAAGACCTGAAGACACCTAAAGCCAGTCATATTTCACAGTGTTTTTCATTGTGGCTGAAGTTAAAGAACAGAAATGTTTTTGTCAACACCTACAACACCTAGTAAAAAGCCTCAAAAGTCATTGCAACATCAAGTACACTATTCCCTAAGCTAACTCTTCTCTGAGATTTTTTCGCTATTTTTCTAGTTGAAGCATTCCTTTGGTGCTTCTTACATCCATATATGACAGCTCCAATATTCATTGACTTTGTTTGTTCATTTTCTCAGTTTCTGCTTTAGTTTCTTATCGTGTGTACGTAATATATATGTATGTATACATACTTTGCCTTACATTAATTGTAAAGTCATAATTTTTTTGGTGGAGAAAAGGCTATATATTTATAAAGCATCTTCTTAATATATTAAAATTGTGATTATATCTTCTATACTACTTTGTATCTTATATTACCTTTCCCATCAGAAAAACCCTCACCCAGTTTCTTTCTTTCTCCCCATTTTAGAGGAAACACTTATGTGTACTATTTTTCACTTCATCTTGAAAACAACACTGCCATTACTTTTATCACTTTTTTTCATTACTTTCTCAGACAAACTCCTTAAACCAAGAGTCTTATTTTCCCTACTTAAGTCAGATTTTAAAGATTTTAAAATACTCTGCAAAATTCTAAATTATGATGCAATTCAATTAATGTGATGTTTTAGAATACAGAGCTATTACATGTTTAAGCTCATTGTCTGTTTTCCTTAATTTTTGGCTTCCATGTTTTTTATCTTTACTTTAAAGATAGATTCCAATTTTCTAATACCCATACTTTTTATAACATCTTACAAAACTTTACAATATTTCTTTTAAAATTCAAGATTTCAGAAAAGGTTTAAGATACTTTCTTTTAACATTTTTGAGCAGAATGTATTTTGAATATTCTAAATTTCTAGGATTTGGTTTATAGGTTCCACTTTAATGCTGCTTTTTAAAATCAATAAATTGCAATGTCTTCAAAAGCATGCATAAGCGAAAAAAATCAGATTGTCCTTAGAATTATATCTGTCTTTTCTTGTTCATAATTTTTATTTTTACACATTCAAAACTAAGACAACATGCTATTAATACCCCAGGATCTGGGAGAAATAACAAAAATATAGCCATGCAATATTTGATTATCTTGACTGCATTATCCCTAAGTTGTTTTTTGCTAACACCATAACCTCTAAATCTGGAAAGTTGTACAGGCACCCCAACTGGGCTGTTATTTACTGCCCTCTCTTACCTCTAAACTATTATAATAGCCACAATAAAATAGGCTTTGCTAGAACTAACACATATGCCAAAAGGGTTTGGGCTTATGAAATTCACATATTGTTCTCCATTTGCTCAATATAGGACTTTCAAATTGGGAGAACTAACATGTTTAATAGTTTTTCTGTTTCATATCACCACAGTATATAAGAAAAATATTGGATGAACAAAATGCAATTTTATCATTTTAGAAGAAATTACACATTCAATAAATATGACTGGATAATTTCTGTGGCTTCAGGCAAAAAGTATGTACACAACATGAATCAAACTGACCAAAACTGAAGCAGAATTTGCCTTTCAACATTATTTGGTAAAGCAATGAAGAATCTACCTTTTAGTTGCATTTGGTGGTTCAGCTTGGGGGCCAGGAAAATACTTGTTTGTAGCCTCTAATAATTTTTAAATTTTTTTATGTAATACCTGATTTGAACAAAATATATATACACTGTAAAGAATAATAATTTTACAAACACCTCCCAATCCACCAACCAATAAAACGACTAAGACATTACCAATATTGTTGCATCTATCTGTATGCTCTTTTCCTATTCCATTGTCTTGCATCTACCCTCCACATTCACTGCCAGGCTATAACCACTGCCATCAATCTTGCATTTATTATCTCTACCCTTTTAATACACTTTATTATACATGTATATGTCCCATTGTTGCTGGTGGGCCCATTCAGGTTCTTGACTTCACCACACAAAAAAACTTGAGAGCGAGTCTAAAGCAAAAGTAAACAAGATACTTTATTGCAAAGCAAAAGTACACTCTGACAGCTGATCAGAGTAGTCTGCTCACAGGTGAAACAGCACCAACTGACACTGGAGAAACTGGCTTTATGGGAGTCTTACATAATTATTCATGAAGGGGTGGAAAGGGGTGTTGCTCTCATGTATGTTATGGGTTATTTTCTGTAAGCCACATGTGCAAGATTTAAGATGCTAACGAGACATATAATGCATACAATACAATACATTGTATGTCTCATTAATATCTTAAATCTGCCCCCAGCGGTGTGTCTTTTACTTTATAATGAGTGTAAGTCAACTCAAGGACACTAATAGTGGGTTTTTCACTTTTGCAAATTGGGGGATTTTCCCTTCTGCTCTTTTACTTTCTTGCTGAAGTATGTTCTAACCATGAGCTCAGGATATGATCTGTGCATTGTTTGGATAGTTTGTTCTTTCCATCCATTTGACAAGTTCTTTTGTTTCCTGTCTAGGAAGCCTATGACCACCCTATCTAATCTACTTTATTTTCTCTTTCAGAGTCTTTGCGTCCATATTCTTATGGGTTTTTGAAGGGCTAGGTCACTTCTTCTAGAGCAGCTTCATGCTGAGAGACAGCAGCGTCCCTGCTGAACCAGGGCCTGAAAGTCTCTATCTGATTTAAACATTATTGGTCATATCCTCCAATACGATAGGCTGGAGTTCCTGCATAACCATCATTTTGATGTGTAACTGTTGCAACCTAAAAGACACAAAGTTTACAAGGGGGTTAAGCAAGTAAGTCCCAAAGATTAATAGTGACACAATATATTGAGCAAAGTGTTTCTTTCCCATCTGGGCTGGCCTATTCCACCCAGTTTTCTTGTGGGAAAAACTATGAGCAAAACAAAGTGTAACATAATTGTACCAAAATAAAAGATTCACAGATAAAGAACAAAGAAGGCTGTTTAACTCTGATGCTTTCCGTCCTGGTTGCCTGGAAGCTTTAAATCCTCCAGTGCTTCATATAAATAGCTTGGAGTCTGCATCAAGGGTTTCTGTGAAGACTCAAATGGAACAATTTCTTTGTTCTTGATAAGTGCACCCAAGGTCCCATACCTCTAAGTTTTACTGCAGTTGTTTTACTCAGGAGCACCTGATATATACTACTTAATTTAGGTTGAAATGGATTACTTGAGGAACTCTTCTTTTATGTCTTAAGACAGACCATGTGTTTTTTGTTTGTTTGTTTTGTTTTTCTTTGTTTTTTTGGTTTTTGTTTTTGTTTTGTTTTTGTTTTTGTTTTTTTGCTTTTACTTGATAGAGGATGCTTTCTGCTTTTACTCTGAGGGAATATTTCCCCCTCAGAGTTTGATGCTGGGAGAGCTTGGTTCCCATACCCTTGAAGTGCCTTTTGTACTAGCCCTAAATTTACAACTTAGGGGTAGAGTGAAAAATCCTAGTCTGCCATTTGCCATCAACACCAATGATAATGCAGCATTTGGCAGATAGGGATCCAGGATAGAAAGTGAGAACTGGCAGTCCAGACCCTGTGTCTACAAGGAAATCAATATATTTACCTGACACATCCAGATTTAACTAAGACTCTGTTGCTATGATTGGGACTGATTGCCTCATCAGAGCCATTGTCTGCCTTGGGCCCCTTCAGTCTTTCGCCGGGGGCAGCAAGGCATTAGGAGTCCCATCCTCCCCTCAGAGTTGGGGACAGACCTTTCTCCATTGCCCTTTTTTTTTTGCCACATTGATGACGGGACCCAGAGGGATTGCAAGCCTGTAGGCCCTTGTTACTCACTTGGCATTCTAGACTCCAGTGTCTTGACTTTCCACAGGTACAGCAAGGCCCTTGGGGTTTCTCCCAGGATGAGCTGGAGGTGGGAGTTTTTCTCCCATAGCAAGGGCCCAAAATTGACCCTCTCTTTAGTCTCTCTCTGCCTTTCTTTGGTTCCTATGTGCCTCTTTTGCCCTGTCTCAGTTACAAAAGCTACATTTAGCAGGTTATATGTGGGGATATGGGTACCCATGGTCAGCTTTTGTAATTTTATAAGACCATGGCTATGTTTCCCCAGGTCATTTGAAAAGACATAGACAAGGCCTGGAATTCCTCCATATACCTTGGGGGGTCCTCAGAGAATTGTCTTAGCCTTTGTTTGCATTGAGATAAATTTGAAATGTGAAAGGGAGGTGGATTTGAATTATCTCGCCTCTTTATTTGCTACTTCCCTGAGGAAAAGTATAGTCTGTCTTTCATTTCAAGTGGGTGATATGATGCTTCACTTCAAGTTGTCCCAATAAGATTGTGCTCCTCACGAAGTGGAAAACAGACAGGTTGATATGGAGGGTGAATTAGTCTGTTTTCATGGTGCTCATAAAGACATACCTGAGACTGGCAGGAAGAAGAGGTTTAATTGGACCTAAAGTTCCACATGGCTGGAGAGGCTGCAGAATCATGGCGGGAGGCAAAAGGCACTTCTTGCATGCTGGTGGCAAGGAAAATCAGGAAGAAGCAAGTGTAAACCCCTCATAAATTGATCAGATCTCATGAGACTTATTCACTATCACAAAGAATAATATGGGAAAGACTGGGCCCCATGATTCAATTACCTCCCCCTGGGCTCCTCCCACAACACAGGGGAATTCTGGGAGATACAATTCAAGTTGAGATTTGGCTGGCAACACAGCCAAACCATATTATTCTTCCCTGGCCCCTCCACATCTCATGTTCTCACATTTCAAAACCAATCATGTCTTCCCAAAAGTCCCCCAAAGTCTTATGTCAGCATTAACCCAAAGTCCACAGTCCAAAGTCTCATCTGAGACAAGTCAACTCCCTTCTGCCTATGAGCCTGTAAAAAGCAAGCTAGTTACTACCTAGATACAATGGAGGTACAGGTATTGGGTAAATACAGCCATTCCAAATGGGATTGGCCAAAACAAAGGGGTTACAGAGCCTATGCAGTCTGAAATACAGTGGGGCAGTAAATTTTAAAGCTTCAAAATGATCTCCTTTGGCTGCAAGTCTCACATCCAGGTCACACTTTAAGGTTCCCATAGTCTTGAGCAGTTCCACCCCTGTGGCTTTTCAGGGCATAGCCCCCTTCCTGGCTGCTGTCACAGGCTGGCATTGAGTGTCTGTGGCTTTTCCAGGCACATGGTGCAAGCTGTAAGTGGATCTACTATTCTGGGGTCTGGAGGACGGTGGCCCTCTTCTCACAGCTCCACTAGATGGTGCCCAAGTAGGGACTCTGTGTGGGGGCTCCAACCCCACATTTCCCGTCCACACTGCTCTAGCAGGGACTCTCCATGAGGGCCTGCCCCTGCAGCAAACTTCTACCTGGGCATCCAGGCATTTCTGTACATCTTCTGAAATCTAGGTGGAGGTTTCCAAACCTGGGAGATACAATTCAAGTTGAAATTTGAGTGGGGACACAACAAAATCATGTCGGGGGGCGGGTAGTAGAAGACTGTTAAGTCTAGTGGGGAAAGATCACTAGGAGAAATATAAGAGGTTTTAGAGATAATCCTTGAACTAGATTTTAAGAAAGGATAGCTGTTGGTGGGAGGCACATTTCCTAATACAGAGTCATTAATTATGTTAGGTTCCCCAAACCCTTTTTATAAACATGAGCATAACATATTCGGCATTGGTCTTAAAGAGTATTATCTGAATATAGAGCCATTTTACTGGGGGAGGAATGTCACATTTCCGTGAGACCTTGGGGAATTTCCGACCATAATTACAAGATAGTATTGTTCTCGGCCATGCTGTGTTGCAAAGAAATATGAGTTTCTTTTTAACTCATTTAATTTAAAATAAGCCCAATTCTGGTGAATATATCCTAGAGGGGAGTTATCAAGGATAGAGTTCTGTTTTCCTATCCTGGTGGTTGTTATTGGACTGTCTTACACCATGAAAACAAAAGAAAGACAGAAAGACTAGTTACTGGGTGTGGCTCTAATTCATTTCCTTTTTTCTTGAGCAAGATGCTAGTACATGATTTAAATGTCCCATCCATAATCATCTCCAAAGGGCTAGAGCATCAAGACTCTAGTATGGATATCCCCTGCTGTCTCTTGTGCTTCTCTAGATCCAGGCATCTGTGGTGTCAAACATACCTCCATGATCGGCTAACAGTATCTTTATTTGTTTCCTCCATTCCTGAGTGAGGGACCATTCAGTGGTCAAATGTATAAATTAATCCTCATCATCTAAGCTATGGAACTTCCCTTTCTGATGAGGTTTTGACAGTTTACTCTTGTATACTTGATGCCACATTGATATGGTTTGGCTCTGTGTCCCCACACAAATCTCATCTTGTAGTTCCCATAATTTCCAGATGTTATGGTAGGAACTAGGTGAGAGATAATTGAATCATGAGGGTGGGTCTTTCCCATGCTGTCTTTGTGATAGTGAATAAGTCTCATGATATCTGAGGGTTTAAAAAATGGGAGTTTCCCTGCACAATCTCTTTTTGCCTACCACCATCTATGTAAGAAGTGACTTGCTTCTTCTTGCCTTCTGCCATGATTGTGAGGACTCCCCAGCCATGTGAAACTGTAAGTCCATTAAACCTCTTTTTCTTCCCAGTCTCAGCTATGTCTTTATCTGCAGCGTGAAAACTAATACAGTAAACTGGTACCAGTAGAGTGGGGTGCTGCTGAAAAGATACCTGAAAATCTGGAAGCAACTTTGGAACTGGGTAACAGGTAGAGGTTGGAACAGTTTGGAGGGCTCAGAAGAAGACAGGAAAATGTGCAAAAGTTTGGAACCCCCTAGAGGCTTGTTAAATGCGTTTGCCCAAAATGCTGATAGTGGTATGGACAATAAAGTCCAGGTTGAGATGGTCTCAGATGAATATGAGGAACTCATTGGGAACTTGAGCAAAAGTGACTCTTCTTATGTTTTAGCAAAGAGGCTGGTGGCATTTTTCCTCTGCCCTAGATATTTGTGGAACTTCAAATTTGAGAGAGATGATTTAAGGTATCTGGCAGAAGAAATTTCTAAGCAGCGAAACGTTCAAGAGGACTCAGGTGCTGTTAAAAGCATTCAGTTTTATAAGGGAAGCAAAGCATAAAAGTTCAGAAAATTTGCAGCCTGACAATGCAGTAGAAAAGAAAATCCCATTTTCTGAGGAGAAATTCAAGCTGGCTGCATAAATTTGCATAAGCAATGAGGAGCTGAATGTTAATCATTAAGACAATAGGGAAAATGTCTCCAGGTTATGTCAAAGGTGTTCACGGCAGCCTGTCACAGGCATGGAAGCTCCGGAGGAAAAAGTGTTTTCATAGGCCCGGCCTAGGGTCCCCATGCTGTGTGCAGTCTAGGGACTTGGTTCCCTGTGTCCCAGCTTCTCCAACCATGATTAAAAGATACCAAGGTACAGCTTGGACTGTTGCTTCAGAGGGTGGAAGCCCTAAGCCTTGGCAGCTTACACATGGTGTTGAGCCTTCAAGTGCACAGAAGTCAAGAATTGGGGTTTGGCAACCTCCGCCTAGATTTCTGAAGATGTATGGAAACGCCTGGATGCCCAGGTAGAAGTTTGCTGCAGGGGCTGTGCCCATATGGAGAAACTCTGCTAGGGCAGTGTGGAAGGGAAATGTGGGGTCAATGCCCCCACACAGAATCCCTACTGGGGGACCACCTAGTGAAGCTGTGAGAAGAGGGTCATTGTCTTCCAGACCCCAAAATGGTAGATCCACTAACAGTTTTCACCATGTGCCTAGAAAAGCTGCAGTCACTCAATCCCATCCTGTGAAGGCAGCTGGAAGGGAGCCTCTACCCTGCAAAGCCAGAAGAGCAGAGCTGCCCAAGACCATGGGAACACACCTCTTGCATCAGCATGACCCGGATGCAAGACCTGAAGTAAAAGGAGATTATTTTGGAGCTTTAAGATTTGACTGCCCCACTGGATTTTGGAATTGCATGAAGCCTGTAGCCCCTTTGTTTTGGCCAATCTCTCCCATTTGTAATGGCTGTATTTACTCAATGTCTGTACCCTCATTGTATCTAGGAAGGAACTAACTTGCTTTTGATTTTACAGGCTCATAGGTGGAAGGGAGTTGCCTTGTCTCAGATGAGACTTTGGACCATGAACTTTTGAGTTAATGCTGGAATGGTTTAAGACTTGGGGACTGTTGGGAAGGCAGGATTGGTTTTGAAATATGAAGACATGAGATTTGGGAGGGGCCAGGCATGGAACGATATGGTTTGGCTCTGTATATTCACCCAAATCTCATCTTGTAGCTCCTGTAATTCCCACGTTATTGGAGGGACCAGTGGGAGACAATTGAATCACGGTGGCGAGTCTTTCCTGTGCTGTTCTCATGATAGTGAATAAGTGTCATGAGAGCTGATGGTTTTGAAATGGGAGTTCCCCTGCACAAGCTCTCTCTTTTTGCCTGCCACCATCCATGTAAGATGTGACTTGCTTCTCCTTGCCTTCTGCCTTGATTGTGAGGCCTCCCCAGCCATGTGGAACTGTAAGTCCATTAAACCTCTTTTTCTTCCCAGTCTCAGGTATGTCTTTATCCACAGCATGAAAACGGACTAATACACCCATAAAGAGGGGGCCAATTCCAAGGTGTATTGCCCTTGACTGCATATCCTTATGATACCATGATCTTTTAATGTCCTATTTTCCCCTCTCACAGATTATTTGCAAGACTCGAACAGTAGTACAACTCACTATACTGGGATAATTGCCAGGTTTAAAAACTTATTTCCTCTGCCTCCAGTAATCAGAAACTAAAATTATTATTTTTTTCTCTATTCAGTCATGGCCTATTTTGACGAAGACGTTTTCTATTTGTTCAAACTTATCTTTAAAACGTGACAAAGGCATCTAATTAGGGACACAAAAAGGTTGAAATCTCCAACATTAGGTTCTTTAATTTGGTAGTGATAGGGGTTTTTATGTAATCTAATATGGTCCTGAAAGACAATACATTTGTCAGAGCTTACTCGAGAAGCCAATCAGGAGATCAAAGAACAAAATTTATTGCCCTACCAATAAGGGATTAAAGTACAAAAGTAACAGTTGTTAGCAGCTATTGAAGCTAAGCAAGGATATGAAGAGGGCATTATGAAGGGATGAAAAAATAGATTCAAGGAAGGTAGAAGAGCCTCCAGTGAGGCTTGCCTTAGCTGGTGACCAGCTTCAATTTTCTTGCCAGTCCTGCCACTATCACCACTTCCTGTTGCCAGTTGCCTAGTTCAGGTTCACTGCACAAAAGAATTTGAAAGTGAGTCAAAGTAAAAGTAAGCAAGAGAGTTTATTGCAAAGCAAAAGTACACTCTCACATCTGATCAGAGTGGGTTGATCCAAGGTGAGACAGCAACAACTGACACTGGAGAAACTCCCTTTATGAGAGTCCTACCTGATTATTCGTGAAATGGTGGGAAGAGGTGTTGCTGTTAAGTATGTTATGGGTGGTTTTCTGGCAGTGCATGCGCTGCGATTGTACATGCTAGTACATACATACCATGTCTCATTAGCATCTTAAATCTTCACCCAGAGATGTGTTTTTTTACTATTAATGAGCATAGGTCTGCCCAAGGACACTAATCATGGGTTTTTGCACTTGCAAAACTTTGGGGATTTTCCCTTCCTCTCTTTCACCTTCTTGCTTCAGGATGTTCTAACCATTGGTTCAGCATGTGGCCTATGTACTGTTGGATGGTTTGTTTTATCAGTTTGACAATTTTGTTTTGTTTTGTTTTCTGTCAAGGGAGACTGTGTCCACCCTATCTCACATACCTCACCTTTATCATGTATTGTTTATCTTGGCTTATTTTTAAGCATTATAAAAATAGCATTATATTGCATGCTGTCTTCTACAACTTATTTACATAAAATATGGTGTTATGAATAATAAAAAAGTTGTTCATTATTTAAGGCTATTCATTTTCACCACTGTTTCATATTTCATCATGTGAAATATAGGAGACATTATTCATCCATTTTTTTGTCAGTGAATATTAAGCTTGTTTCCAAATGTTGCCTTTTATAAACAATGTCTCCATGAAGATATTTATATATTTATTTTGGTAAATTAGTGCAACATGCTTTTTTAGTACAGTGGTTCTAAAAGTGTGGTCCCTAAACAGACAGCATCAATATCACCTGGAAGCTTGTTATGAATGCACAATTTGGGGTTCCACCTCTGACCTTCTGAATCACATACTCTAGGGGTGAGATCCAGAAATTTGTGTTTAACAAGCCCTCTGATATTGTTTGGCTGTATCCCCACCCAAATCTCATTTTGAATTGTAGTTCCTGTAATCCCCATGTGTCATGGGAGGGACCCAGTGGAAGATAATTGAATCCTGGGGGCAGTTTTCCCCATCCTGTTCTTGTGATAGTAAGTTAGTTCTCACGAGATCTGATGATTTTATAAGGGGCTTTTCCACCTTTTGCTTGGCACTTCTTTGCGGCTGCCATGTGAAGATGGACGGGTTTGCTTCCTTTTCTGTCACGCTTGTAAGATTCCTGAGGCCTCCCCAGCACTGCAAAACTGTGAGTCAGTTAAACCCCTTTCCTTTATAAATTATCCAGTCTCGGGTATTTCTTCATGTCAGCATTAGAACAGACTAATACACCCTCTATTTGACACTGCTGCATGCTCATGTTTGAAAACCACCACTCCAGCATATAATCCCATTAAAAGAATGTCTGGCTCATAAATTGTCTTTGTATCTTCAAATCCATGAGATAATGGTAAATTGTTTCCTGAAGAGACTTTACCAGCCAGCAATGTATAAGTTCCACTTTCATTTTACCCATATTCTCATCTGCCCTAAGATTCTTAGTGAAAAACTTATTTTTCATCCAGTGGGTAAAAAAGTTTCTCGTTGCCATCTTAGTTTGCATATCTCTAAATGTGAATGAAGTTGTTGCCATCTTAGCTCGCATAGCTCTAAATGTGAATGAGGTTGATTTTTTTTTTTTTTTTTTTTTGAAACGGTCTCATTCTGTTGCTCAGGCTGGAATGCAATGGCACAATCACAGTTCACTGCAGTTCCAACCTTCCTGGGTTCAAGTAGTCCTTCTGCCTCAGACTCCCAAGTAGAGAATCTTTTAACTTTTATGTGTGCCAGTATTTCTGTGAATGTTTGTTCATGTATTTTGCCCATACTTGTGGAATTGTTTACTTTTTCTTATTGACTTGTGGGAGTTCTTTGTGTATTTTTGAAATTTTGTTTTGCCAGTTAGATATGTAGATAATATCTTCTCCCAGTTTAATATGTATTTATTTTTTCTATTTATTCAAAGAGTAATTTGAGGAAGAGAATTTCTTGATTTAAATGTAGCCATACTTACCATTTTTTCTCATATGATTGGCATATTGAGGGATTAAAAATTCTTTCACTACCATAATGTCATAAAATTATATTCTGATATTGTTTCTTAAAAGTTTTATATGTTTGCCTTTCATATTTTAGTTTTTAACCCATTGGGGGCTGATTTTTCTGTAAGGCATATAAGAATCTAATTTTATTTTTTAAATATGAAAATATATCAACACATTTTATTAAGTGTTTCCTTATCTCTGATAATCTATAATGCCATCCCTACCTCTTCTCAAATTTCCTTATATGTGTGGTAGTCTGAGCATCACTACTTGAAACCATTGGTCAAATTCCTCCAAAACACACTGTTGGGATTTCTGTTAGAATTATATCAATTCTTTTTTCATAGAAAGACTCCAGAACACTTGAATTCAGAACAATTCTGCTTGACTTGTATGCTATTGCTACACAATGTTTTTCACCCCAATAACAAATTGTAGTTATTTTGCACTTACACCTACAATGTTTATGTTTACCTATCTCTTTATTCACCATGGCTTTTAACATCTCAGCTCTTCTTTGTGAGGTCATTTCTTACTTGAATTATATCACTTAGAAGTTTCTTTAGTGAAGATTTGTTTGTAGCAAACACTTTTAGTATTTGTCAATATAACTTGATCTTTATTCTACTTTCTTGAAGATCATCTATTCTGCTATAGGTCTCTCAGTGAACATTTATTCTTATTATTTTGAAATGGTTGCTGCATGTTTTTTGTTGTTGTCTTGATTGCCACTGTTTAAGTCTGCCTTTAGTTTTATAGTTATTTGTAGGTGATCTGTTCTTCCTCTTTACCTGTTTTCTAAGCTTTTATTTTAAAATAATTATAGATTCAGAGGAAGTTGCCAAAATAGTACAGATAGGTATCATTCATCCAATTCCCACCAATTATTATATCTTACATAACTATAATACAATATCAAAACCAGGAAATAAACTTTGGTGCAAAGTGTGTGTGTATCGATTTATGTAACCACCACCATAGTGAATATTGCAAAATAATTATTTCATCACACCAAAGACTTTCATTGCGCTACCCCTTTATAGTCACACTTATCTACCTCCCCCATCACCATCCCTAAACCATATCAATCCCTAATCTAGTCTCCATCCTTATACATTTGTTATTTTTAAAATGTTATATAAATGGAATCATAGAGTAGGTGACTTTTTGATAGTTGCTTTATACTCAGCAAAATGCCCTTTGAGGTAAAGCCATTTTTGTGTTTTTGTATATATCAATAATTGCTTCCATTTTATTGCTAATAGTATTTCATAGATGTTTCACAGATTAACCATTTTCCACTTGAGAAACATTTTGTTTGTTTCCAGTACAGAGTAATTAAAAATAAAACTACTGTGAAATCCATCTATATATATTTTGGGGATCATAAACTTTCATTTCTTGGGGGAGTAAATGCCGAAGATTACTGATTCTTAGTGTAATTGCATGTTTAGTTTTATTTTTAAAAATCTGCAAAACAATTTTCAGAATGACTATAGCATTTTACGTCCTAAAAAGTAGTATATTATTTATCTAATTTCCCTGAATTTGCACCAGCATTTGTTATTATTACTAGTTTCTTTAAAAAGTTTAGCTGTTCGAATAGGTGTGTAGTGATATTTCAACATTATCCACTAATACATAAAAGTTAAACCACAATGAGATATCATTTATCAAAATTAAAGAAGAAAGTGATAATTTTTAAAGTATCCTTCCTTTTCTATTTTCTCAGAAAGTTTGTGTAAAATTGGAAATAACAGATTCAGTATTTGCTAGGATTCTCCAGGAGAATCTTCTGGACCTTAAGATGTCTTATATGGGGGGCAGGGGGGTTATAAATTACAAATTATTTTTATTTAATTGATATGGGACTATTAAAATGATCTATTTTATGTTGAGTGAACTGTGGTAGATTTTAGGCTTAGAGAAAATTGATGATTTTATCTCAGTTGTCAAATTTACAGTCTAAAGTTGTTCATTTCTTATCCTCATGATGTTTAGAGGGTCTGTAGTGGTGTATTATATTTCATTCCTTATATTATTAATTTTTGCTATTTCTTTTTGTCAGTCTTGCTAGATGTTTCTAACTTTCTTTTAATTTTTGTGGCTACATAGTAGTTATATATATTTATAGGGTATATGATATGATACAAGCATGCAATGCATAATAGTGACATCAGGGTAAACGAGATATCCATCAACTAAAGGATTTATCTTTCTTTATGTTACAAACAATCCAACTATACTCTCAGTTACTTTAATATGTGCAGTAAATTATCGTTGACTGTAGTCACCCTGTTGTGCTAGCCAATACTGGATCTTATACAATCTATCTAACTATAATTTTGTGCTCATTAACCATTCTTACCTCTCCCCCAACCCATCATTCCTAGTCTTTGGTGACCATCATTCTACTCTGTCTCCATGAGTTCAGTTGTTTTAATTTTCAGCTCCAACAAATAAATAAGAACATATAAACTTTGTCTTTCTGTGCCTGGCTTATTTCATTAACATGATGCTCTCCATTTGCACACATGTTGTTGCAAATAACAGGATCTGATTCTTTTATGGCTGAATAGTAGTCCATTATGTATAAGCACCACATATTCTTCATCCATTCATCTGGTGATGGACACTTAACGTTGTTTCAAATCTTGGCTAATGTGAATCATGCTGCAATAAACATGAGAGTGCAAACATATTTTTGATGCATTAATATTCTTTCTTTTTGGTATATTTATAGCAGTGGGATTGCCACATTATATACTAGCTCTATTTTATAGCTTTTTGAGGAACTTCCAAACTGTTCTCCATAGGGGTTGTACTAATTTACGTTCCCACCAACAGTGTACGAGGGGTCCATTTTCTCCACATCCTCACTAGGGTTTGCTACTGTGTGTCTTTTATATAAAAGCCATTTAAACTGGTGTGAGATGATATTTCATTGTAGTTCCGATTTGCATTTCTCTGATTAATAATTCTGTTGAGCACCTTTTCAGACACCTGCTTGCTATTTGTATGTCCTCTGTGGAGAAACATCTATTCAGATATTTTGCCCTTTTTTAATTAGATTATTAGATTTTTTCCCATTGCATTGTTTGAATTCCTTATATATTCTGGTTATTAATCCATATCAGACTGATGATAGTTAGCAAATTTTTTCTTCCATTCTGTGGGTTGTCTCTTTACTTTTGTGATTGCTTCATTCACTGTTCAGGAGAGTTTGAACTTGATGTAGTCTCAGTTGTTCATTTTTGCCTTCGTTGCCTGTGTTTATGGGGTACTACTCAAGAAATCTGTGCACAGTTCATTGTCTTGGAGTGTCTTCTCAAAGTTTTCTTTTAGTAGTTTCATATTTTGGGGTCTTAAGTTTGTCTTTAATCTATTTTGATTTGTTTGTTGGATATGACAAGAAATAGGGGTCTAGTTTCCTTTTTCTGCATATGGATATTCAGTTTTCCTAGCACCATTTATGGAAGCAATTGTCCATTCCTCAATGAATGGTCTTGGCAACTTTCTCAAAAATTAGTTCACTGTAGGTGTGTAGACTTATTTCTGGATTATCTATTCTGTTCCACTGTTGTATGTGCCTGTTTTTATGTCAGTACTATCCTGTTTTGGTTATTATAGCTCTGGAGTATAAATCGGGATTCAGGGAATGTGAGTACTCCAGTTTTGTTCTTTTGACTTAGAATAGCTTTGGCTGTTCTGGGTCTTCTGCAGTTCCATATACATTTTGGGATTATTTATTCTATCTCTGTGAAGAACGCCATTGGCATTTTGATAGGGATTGCATCGAAACTGTAGATTGCTTTGGGTAGTATGGTCATTTTAACAATATTGATGCTGCCAACCCATGAACGTGAAATATTTTTCTATTTTTTTCCTGTCCTATTCAATATCTTTTATCAGTGTTTTATAGTTTTCATTGTAAAAATCTTTTATTTACTTGGTTAATTTAACTCCTAGGCTTTTTATTTCATTTGTAATTTTTGTAAATAAGATAACTTTCTTGGTGTCTTTTTCAGATTGTTTGCTGTTGGCATACTACTGATTTTTGGTATGTTGATTTTCTATCCTACAACTTTACTGAATTTGTTAATCAGTTCTAATAGTTTTTTGATGGAGGCATTAGATTTTTTCAAATATAAGATTATATCATCTGCAAACAAAGAGAATTTGACTTCTTTGTTTCCAACTTAGATGCCTTTTATTTCTTTCTCTTGTCTGATTTCTCTAGCTAGAACTTCCAGTACTATGTTAAATAACAGTGGTAAAAGTGGTCATCCTTGTCTTGTTGCACATCTTCGAGGAAAGGCTTTCAGTTTTTCCCTTTTCAGTATGATACTAGCTGTAGCTCTGCTGTACATAGCTTTTATTATGCTGAGGTATATTCCTTCTATACTCAATTTTTGAGGGTTTTTATTATAAAGGGATGTTGAATTTTATCAATTTTTTTTCAGCATCAATTGAGATAATCATGTGGTTTTTTGTCCTTCATTCTGTTGTTATAACGTATCACATTGATAGTTTTGCATATTTTAAACCATTCTTGCATCCCATGGATAAATCTCACTTGGTCATGATGAATGACCTTTTTAAAGTCTTATTGAATTCAGTTTGTTAGTTTTTAATTGAAAATTTTTGCATACGTTTTCATCAGGGATATTGGCCTGTAGTATTGTTTTTTTGATGCATCTTTGCTTTTGGTATCAGGGTAATATGGGCCTCATAGAATGACTTTGGAATTACTTCACTCACCTCTATTTGTTTGGGGTAGACTGAGTAGGATTGGTATTTTTTTTATTCTTTAAATGTTTTGTAGAATTCAGCAGTGAAGACATTGATTCTTTGGTTATTCTTTGCTGGGAGACTATTTTATTATGGCTTAGACATCATTACTTGTTACTGGTCTTTTCAGGTTTTGGATTGAATCAAGATTCAATCTTGATAGGTTACATATGTCTAGGAATTTATCCACTTTTCTAGGTTTTCAAATTTATTGGTATGTAGTTGCTGATAGTAACCTCTAATGATCCTTTCAATTTATGCAGTATTAATAAAAATGTCTCCTTTTGTATTTCTGATTATTTGTTTCTTGTCTCTTTTTTTCTTATTTAGTCTGGCTAAAGGTTTATAAATTTAGTTTATCTTACCAAAAAATCAACTTTTTATGTCATTGATTCTTAAAATTCTGTTCATTTCAATTTATTTTACTTTTTGCTCTCATCTTTATTATTTATTTTCTTCTATTAAATTTAGGTTTGGTTTTCTCTTGTTTTTCAAATTCTTTAATATGCATTCTTATGTTGTTTATTTGAAGTCTTGCTTCTTTTTGGATGTACATACTTGTAGCTATAAATTTCCCTGTTAGTACTGCTTTTGCTGTATACCACAAGTTTTGGCATATCGTTTTTCCATTCTCATTTTTTTCAAAAAATATTTTAACTTACTTCTAAATCACTTCATTGACTCACTGGTCATTCAGGAGCTTATTGCCTAATTTCCATGTGTTTGTATAGTTTCCAAATTTCTTCTTTATTGATTTCTGCTTTTTCTCTCTTTTTTTTTTGTTTTTTTGCCATTGTGGTCTGAGAAGATTCTTGATATTATTTCAACTTTTTTCAATTTTTTAAGACTTACTTTGTTGCATAACACATAGTCTACCCTTAAGATTAATCCATGTGTTGAGGGAAAGAATAAAGAATGTATTCTGCAGCCATTAGATAAAATGTCCTATAAATATCTATGCAGTCCATTTGGTCTATAGTGCAGCATACATCTGACATTTCTTTGTTTATTTTTTCTCTACATGATCTGTGAGATGTTGAAATTGGAGTGTTGAAGCATACACACATTATTATTTTATTAGCATCTATCTCTCTGTGTAGCTCTAGTAATATTTGGTTTCTATATCTGGATGGTTCAGTGTTTGGTGCATGTATATTTACACTTGTTAGATCATCTTGCTGCATTGACCTTTTTATTATTATAAAATGACCTTCTTTATCTTTATTATGGTCTTTGTCTTGAAATCTATTTTAACTGATATAAGCATAGACTCTTCTTCTCCATTTGGTTTCCATTGTCATGGAACATCTTTTTCCATACTTTCATTTCTAATCTATGTGCGTCTTTGTATGTGAAGTGTATTTTTGTGTAGGGAATAGGTAATTTGGTCTTGTATTTTACTCATTCAGCCATTCTATGTGTTTTGATTGGAGAGTTTTGTCCTTTTATATTCCATGTTATTGTTAATAATTAGGGACTTACTCCTGATATCTTGTTGCTTTCTGGTTGTTCTGTGGCCTACATTTTTCCTCGTTGTTTTGTGATCTACATTATTCCTGTCTTGCTTTAAGTGGAGGTGATTTTTCCTGGGGAATAATTTAATTTCCTCTCCTTTATTTTATGTGACTCCATTGTGTGTTTTTAGGTTTGATTTACCATGAAGCTTGAAAATAATATATTATGTTCCATTATTTTAAAACAATGACAACTTCACACTGACTGTATAAACAATCTAAACAAAAACAAAACTAATAAGTTTCTATACTGTAACTTTGTCTTTCTGCTCTTAATTTTTTGTTGCTTCCAGTAATGTCTTATTGTATTGTCTATGTATTGAAAATGTTTTTATTAATAGTTTTGATTGGGTCATCATTTTGTCTTTCTACTTAAGATATGAGTAGTTTACCCACCAAACTTACAGTATTATAATATGTTGTGTTTTTCTGTGTACTTATTATTATCAGTGTGTTTTGTACTTTCAAATGATTTACTATTGCTCATTAACATCCTTTTGTTTCTGATTTAAGAAGTCCTTTTAGTATTTCTTGGAGGACTGGTCTTGTTTTGATGAAATTTCTCAGCTTTTGTTTGAACGGGAAGGTCTTTATTTCTCCTTTGTGTTTGAAAGATATTTTCACCGCACATACTCTTCTAGGGTAAATGTTTTTTTCTTCAGCACTTTAAATATGTTACGCCACTCTCTCCTAACCTGTAAGATTTCTACTGAGAAGTCTGCTGCAAAGAAGTATTGGAGCTCCATTGTATGTTATTTGTTTCTTTTATTTTGTTGCTTTGAAGATCCTTTCCTCACCCCTTACCTTTGTGAGTTTAATAAATACCTTGAGGTAGTCTTCTTTTGGTTAAATACTTGGTGTTCTTTAGCCTACTTGTACCTGAATATTGATATTTTTCTTTATGTTTGGGAAGTTCTTTATTGCTATTTTTGAATAGTCTTTCTACATGTATCACTCTCTATACCTCCTCTATACAACAAATAACTCTTAGATTTCCCTGTTTGAGGCTATTTTTTAGTTATTGTTGCTGTGCTTTATTCTTTATTAATTTTTTGTCTTCTCTGAGTGTGTATTTTCAAATAGCCTGTCCTCAAGCTCATGAATCCTTTCTTCTGCTTGATCAATTCTGCTGTTAAGAGACTCTGTTGCATTCTTCAGTATATCAATTGCATTTTTCAACTGCAGGATTTCTGCTTAATTATTTTCAACTGTTTCTATTTCATTTTAAAATTTATCTCATAAAATTATGAATTAGTTCTCTGTGTCTTTTAGGATTAATAAACTGCAGCTATTCTACTGTTACGTATACACCCCCCACCAAAAGGAAACATATGCTCACAAAAACATGCACATAAATGTTTATAGCAGCTTTATTCATAATGGCCAAAAAGTTAAAAGAACCCAAATGTCCATGAATTAATAAATGAATAAACAAAATGTAGTATAGCCATAAAATAGCATATTACTCATAAGCTATTTGAGTTTATTTGAGTTTTTTTCAATACAGCTATTTTGAAGGGTCTGTCTGAAAGGTAACCTACCTCTATCTCTCCAGAATTTGGACCTGGTGCCTTATTTAGTTTGTTTGGTGAGATCGTGTGTTCCTGTATGGTTTTGATGCTTGTGGATGTTTGTCAGTCTTTGAGCATTGCAATCTTTGCAGTCTGGGCTTGTTTGTACCCCTCATTTTTAATAAAGTGTTCCAGATATTCAAAGGGACTTGCATGTTGTGATCTACAATTATGGTCACTGCACCCATATCTGCCTTTGGGGCACCTTAAGTCCAGTGGTGCTGTAGTTCTTGCAGACTCATAAAGGTATTGCCTTAGTGGTCTTAGGTAAAATCTGTAAGAATTATCTGAATTACAAGGCAGAGACATTTGTTCTCTCCCCTTACTTTCTTCTCCCCAAATGTTAACTCTCTTTCTCTTTGCTGAGCTGCCTGGAGCTGGGAGAGTAGTGACACAAGTACCCTTTTGGCCATAGCCGCTAGAAATTTGCTAGGTCAAACTTGAAGCCAACACAGCACTAGGTCCTGCCCAAGCCCTACTGTAACTACTACCTGACTGCTGCCTACGTTTGCTGAAGGTCCTAGGGCTCTACAATCAGCAGGTGATGAATTCCGCCAGTCTTGTGTCTTTATCTTTGGAGCAGCAAGTTACACAAGCCCCAGGCACATTCAGAGCTATTGTCTGGGGCCAGGGCCTGGAGTCAGTAACCTTAGAAATCTAACTGGTGTTCTATTCTACTGCAGCTAAGATGGCATCAAAACCACAAGACAAATTCTTCCCACTCTTTTCTCCCCTTTCTCCAGGCAGAGGAGTCTCTCCCCATGCTCACTACCACCACAGGCCATGGGGAGTAGTGCCAGGGTACCACTGATGTTTACTTAAGGCCCAAGGGCTCTTTATTCAGCTTGTTGTGAATGCTGCCAAGCCTTCAGAGAAGTGAGCCGCTCTCTGCCCCAGGGTAAGTTCAAAAAAGGCATCCAAGAGCCAAGGCCTGGAATTGGGGACCCTAAGAGCAATCTTTGTGCTCTTCCTTACTATAACTGAGTTGGTACCTAAAGTGCAAGTCAAAATCCCCTTTATTCTTTCCTCTCCTTTTCTCAAGCAGAAGGGATCTCTCATAGCCACCACATCTGTGAATATGCTAGGTCACACCTGAAGCTAACATGTCTCAGAGTCTCATCCAACACCCATGACCTGTACTACCTGATATAACCACTTCTTATTATTCAGGGTCCCTAGGCTCTTTAGTGAGCAGGTGATAAATCCTGCCAGGACTGGGTCCTTCCCTTCAAGGCAGCAGGTTCCCTTCCGGCTCATGGTTTGTTTAGAAATGTTTTGTGGGAGCTATAGCCTGTAATGGGTGCCTTATGACTCTTCCCATTACCCTGTCTTACTTTGGCTAAGAAGGTATCCAAAATGCAAGACAAAATCCCTTTTCTCTTCCCTCTCCTCTCCTCAAATAGAAGGAAGGGCTTATTTTGAAGTCGTGAGCTGCACTGCCTGGGGTTGGGATAGGGATGACACAAGCACTCCCTTATCTAACATATTTGGTGTGTGTGTCACTAGGTCAGATGCCCCCAAGTCCACTAGTTCTGAGCCCAGGATACCACTAAGCCTTGCCTAGGACTTGCAGTCTGTGTCCCTAGACACCCTTTTGCGTTCATGTAGGACCCCAGGGCACTTTAGCCAATGATGGCAAGGCTTGCTGAAATGCAAGTTCTGATCACTAGGATTGGTGACTCCTCTCTTGTTAGGGCTAGGCTAAATGTTCCCTCCGTGGGCATCAGATGAATTCTGCATGGTGTTGGAATCACTGAGTTTTAATGTAGAATTCCACAATCACTAAGTTATCCCTCTACCATGATCACAGGTTCTCTCTCTGTGCCAAGTGGCTGCTGCTGAAGGATTGGAAAGGGGTGGGATCAGCAAATTGAGATGGTTTTTCCTACTCTTTTCAGTGCCTCATTTAGTTATATGCAGTTAAGACTAGGTAATGTGATCATTCATACGATTTTTGGTTTTTATGCATATGTTTTGATGTGTATAGATAGTTGTCAAATTTAGTGTTCCTGTGAGGAGGTTGATCAGAGCAGGCTTCTCTTTGGCTATTTTGCTTTGCCTGTGGAATCTGTGTTCTTCTTTTATTTTCTTTAGATGAAAAATGAAATTATGATTTTAATATAAAACTTTTATGTAGATATAGTTCACACACCATACAATTCACTCATTTAAAGTGAACAATTTAATGTTTTTAGTATATCCACAGACCTATGTAGCTGTAACAAATTTTAGAACATTTCCTTCACTCCAAAAAGAAACTCCATATATCTTAACATTCATCCTCCATTTTATCCCAAAATTTCTTCATCCCCAGGCAGCCATTACTCTACTTTCTGTTTTTATTAATTTACCTATTATGGACATTTGATAGAAATGGGATCATATACTATGTAGTCCTTTGCAACTCACTTTTTAAATTAGCAAAATGGTTTCAAGGATTATCCTTGTTGTATCATGTACCAGTACTCTATTACAGTTTATGACTGAGTAATATGTTATTTTATGGATATACTACATTTTGTTTATTCATTTATTAATTCATGGACATTTGGGTTCTTTTTGCTTTTTGGCCATTATGAATAATGCTGCTATAAACATTTATGCGCATGTTTCTGTGAACATATGTTTCCTTTTGGGGGGCATATATGTAACAGTAAAATAGCTGCAGATTATTAATCCCAAAAGACCCAACTTCAAACACCATAATCCCAAATGTTGTAATCCCTTAAGAACAAAATAAGTCAAAATCCTAAAGTCTAAAATGCCTAACATCTAAAATTCCTACAAAATCGCAATTCCAAAAGGTTAAAATCCTGAATGTTACAATCCTGAAAGCAAATTCTGGGAAAGGGATTAGTGTGTTTTTAATTTCATACAGGAGTGTTCTATCCTGTTAGTTGCATCATGTTAGGTGAAACTATTACCTGCTTATTGTCTTCTTAGAAATTATGTATGGTTTAAGGAGATGTGTATGGGTCCCAAGTTGACAAAGGCTGGACTTGTGGGTTTGATTTTAGGTGTCGATTTAACTGGATTAACAAATATCTTGAAACCTGGTAAAACATTATTTTGAGTGTGGATGTGAGAGTTTCCAGAGATTAGTTTGTGAGTCAGAGTGGACTAGGTAGAGAAAATCTGCCTCAATGTTGGTGACATGGTTAGGCTTTGTGTCCCCACCCAAATGTCATCTTGAATTGTAATCCCCAGGTGTTGAGGAAAGAATCTGGTGGGAGGTGATTGCATCATGGGGGCAGTTTTACCCACACTGTTCTCATGATAGTGAGTTCATTCTCATGAGATCTGATGGTTTTATAAGTGTTTGGCAATTTCCTCCTTTGCTCACACTCTCTCCTGCCACCTTGTGAAGAAGGTGCCTGCTTCCCCTTCTGCCATGATTGTAAGTTTCCTGAGGCCTCCCGAGCCATGCGGAAATGTGAGTCAATTAAACCTCGTTTGTTTATAAATTACCCAGTCTCGAGTAGTATCTTTATAGCAGCGTGAGAATGGACTCATACAGTTGGCAAGCACTATCTAATCAAACAGAGACCCAGAGATATCAAATGCAGGAGTCTCTCTTTCATAGCTGTAAGAGCCATTTCCCCTGCTGCCTTAGATATCAGAAATTCAGCTTCATAAAAGTGCATTATTATAATGTTGACTTTGTATGTAAACATTGTGCATGTGCATAAAAACATTGAAACATTCTCAATAAAGAGATAGTCATTTTGTACATCTGCTTTTGTGATAGATAAAACTTATTAAGATATCTTTGAGCAACTGAATATGCGATAGGTAACTATCACAGTTTTTGATCCATCTTGTCAAAAGACAGGTTGTCTGTCGCAGTGCTTCAGATAATTGTAGTTATAAAGCTGGGTGCACACAATTACTAACCATAGTGATAAGCATTTATACATTCTGTTTGTGACTTATTTCTTTGTGAATATGATTTATCTGCTCACAACTGTTATGTAGTTATCATTAGCATACCTAAGTGTTTATATTTGCAAAAATATGTATATTATTTTTGCCCACTTTATAAAGTGGCTTATGAAGTGTTTGGCCATGTTTTTAATATGTTTCTCAAATGAATCTCATATTAAAAATGTGAATAAATGTCTTTTAAATACTTTTGTTCAAAATATATTTTTAGCATTTTGACCTTTTGGAATTGTAATTTTTGTAATTTTAGACTTTAAGGATTTTAATCTTTAGTAATTTCAACATTTGTGATTATGGTGTTTGAGATAGTGTTTTTTGGGATTATGACCCAAACCTGAGTAGAATTGCTAGGTTATATGGTGAATCTATATTTAGTTTTTTGAGAAACTGAGAAAATATTTTGCTATGTGGATGCACCATTTTATACTCACAGTAGCCATTATAAAGGTTATAATTCTTCCACATCCTTGCCAACATTTGTTATTACCTGTCTTTTAGCCATGATAATAAGTGTAATATGGTATCCAATTGTGTTGAATAACATTCTCCTAATAGCTAATGATTTTGCAAATATTTTAGTGTGCTTATTGCCCAACTATATGCCTTCTTTGGAGAAACTTCTATTCATATTGTTTGCCTGTTTTTGGTGTGCTTTAATTTTAATTAAAAGTCTTTATATTTTAGAACACTTTTAGATATACAACACAATTGACAAAGAGTACAAAAAATTCTCATATGTACCCCTCCGTGTACACAGTTTTTCCTATTGCCAAAATCTTGCATTAGTGATACATTAGTCATAATTAATTAACCAATAATGACACAATATTATTATTAATAATAATTTTAAATTATAACTTCTATTTTAAATCTAGGAGGTACATGCACAGATTAGTTACAAGAGTTTATTGTGTGATGCTGAGGTTTCGAGTATAATTCAACCCATCACCCAGGTAGTGAGCATATTAGCCAATAGGTAGTTTTTCAACTCTTGCCCCCTGCCCCCTACACCCTCCCTTCTCCAGTAGTCTCCAGTGTCTTTTGTTAGCATGTTTACATTCATGTGTACTCAATGCTTAGCTCTCACTTAAATGTGATAACATTTATTTTTCTGTTTCTGTGTTAATTTTCTTAGAATGATAGCTTCCAGCTGCATCAATGTTGCTGCAAAGAACATGATTCTGTTCTTTTATGGCTGCATAGCATTTCATGGTGTACATGTACCACATTTTCTAAATCTAATCCACCACTTCTGGGAATCTTGGGTAATTCCATGTCTTTACTATTGTAAATAGTGCTGCAATAAACATGAGTGCATGTGTCTTTTTGGTAGAATGATTTGTTTTCCTTTGGGTATATATCTAATAATGGGGTTGCTTGGTCAAATTGTAGTTCTGTTTTAAGTTCTTTAAGACACTTCCAAACTGCTTTCCACAATGGCTTAACTAATTTATATTCCCAACAGCAGTGTATAAGTGTTCCCTTTTCTCCACAGCCTCATAAACATCTGTTATATTTTCACTTCTTAATAATAGCTATTCTGACTGCTGTGAGGTTGCATCTTACTGTGGTTTGATTTGCATTTCTCTGGTGATTCGTGATATTTAGAATTCTTTCACGCTTATTGGCCACTTATATGTCTTCTTTTGAGAAGTGCCTGTTGATATCTTTTGCCCAGTTTTTAATAGGATTGTTTTTTGCTCGTTGATTTGTTTAAATTTCTTACAGATTCTGGATATTAGAACTTTGTCAAGAGCACAGTTTGTGAATATTTTCTCCCATGCTGTAGGTTGTCTGTTTACTCTGTAGTTTCTTTTGCTGTGCAGAAGCTTTTTAGTTTACTTAGGTTTCATTTGTCAAGCTTCGTTTTTGTTTCAATGGCTTTTGAGGACTTAGTCATAAATTATTCACCAACATTGATGTTCAGAAGGGTATTTCCTAGGCTTCCTTCTAGAATTTCTATTGTTTTAGGTCTTAGATTTTCCTTTAATTCATCGTGAGTTAATTATTTTTATATGGTGACAGGTAAGGGTCCAGTTTCATCCTTCTGCATATAGATAGCCGGTTATCCCAGCACCATTTATTTTATAGAAAGTCTTTTCCTCATTGCTTTTTTTTTTTTTTCACTTTGTTGAAGATCAGTTGGTTGTAGGTGTGTAGCTTTCTGTCTGGGTTCTCTATTCTGTTCCATTGGCCTTGGTGTCTGTTTTTATACAAGTCCCATGTTGTTTTTCTTATTGCAGCCTTGTAGTATAGTTTGAAGTTGGGGAATGTAATGCCTTCAGCCTTGTTCTTTTTGCTTACAATTGCTTCAGCAATTTGGGCTCTTTTTGGTTTCATGTGAAGTTTAGAATAGTTTTTATTTTTCTAATTCTGTGGGCAATAATGTTGGTATTTTGGTGAGAATAGCATTGAATCTATGGATTCCTTTGGGGAGTATGGCCATTTTAACAATATTGATTCTTCAGTCAATGAGCATGGAAATTTTTTTTATTTATTTCATCTACAATTTTTTTTGGCACTGTTTTGTAGTTCTCCTTGTTGAGAACTTTGACCTCCTTTGTTAGATGTATTTCTAGGTATTTTTTTCTGTGTGTAACACAATATTATTAACTAAAGTCCAGAATTTACACTGTTTCACTTTTATCTGTCCCACGGAGTTTGACCAACGTATAATGCCATCTCTCCGCCACTATAGTTTCAGACAAAATTGTTCCATTGCATTAAAATTCCCCTGTGCTTCATTTATTGATATCTTATTCTGCTGTAAAACCCTTGACAACAACGGAGCTTTTTATTGTTTCTATAGTTTTGCCTTTTCTAGAATGTCCTGTATTGGGACTTATACAATATGTAGTCTTTTCAGTGTAGCTCTTATCACTTTAAATATGTACATCTAAGATTCTTTCATGTTTTTTCATAGATTAATAACTTCTTTTTTTCTCTTAATAATATTCTATTTTATAGATGTGTCTCAGTTTGTCTACTTGCCTGTTGAAGGAAATCTTAGTTACTTCTGGAATTTTTTGGTATTCTGGGTAAAGCTGCCGTAAATTTTTGTGTGCAGTATTTTGTGAGGACATAAGTTTAACTCAGTACATAAATACTTAAAGTCACAGTTGTTGATTGGTATGGAGAGGCTATGTTTATCATGGTAAGAAACTGCCAAACTGTCTTCCAAAGTGGCTGTATCATTTCACATTATCTACAGTAATGTGAGTATTGCTCAACATATGTGCAAGTATTTGATAAACAAATATTTTGGATTTTAGTAATTCCAATATGTATGTAAAGGTGTTTCACTGTTGTTTTAATTTACAATTCCCTAATTATATATGGTAGTAGCACCTTTACACATGCTTATTTGCATTTGTATATTTTCTTTGGTGAGGTATCTATTTAAAATTTTTGCCTATCTTTTTTAAAAAAGACATGGCTGTTTCTTATTGTTGTTTTAGGAGATTTTTGTATATTTTGTATATAAGTCTTTTATCAGATATATGTTTGCTAATATTTTCTATGAGTCTGTGGCTTGCCTTTTCATTCTCTTAATAATTTATTTCACAGAGGACAAGTTTTTTTTATTTAATAAAGTCAAATGTCACATTTTTCTTTCATGAATTATGCTTTAAGTGTTGCTTCTAAAAACTCATTGCCAAATCCAAGATCATTGAGATTTTCTCCTATATTATTTCGTAGAAGGTTTAGTATTCATTTTGTTTTCTGTTTAAGTCTGTGAACCATTTTTAGTTAATATTTGTTAAAGGTGTAACATCATTGTCTAGATTAACTTTTTGCAAATTGACATTAAATTTTTAGCAGTATTTGTTGGAAAGAATAACATTTTTTCTTCATTGAATTGCCTTTGTTTTTTTTTTTTGTCAGAGATCAGTTGACTATTTTCATCTGTTTTCATACTATCATCTATTTCTGGCCTCTCCATTCAGTTCCATACATAAAAGTGTCTGTTATTTTTATCAGTACCATACTGTCTGGATCACTGTAGCTTTTTATGAAGTCTTAGAGTTGGATCATGTCAGTGTTCCAACTTTGCTATTTTTCAGTGTTTTGTTGATGATTCTGGCTGCTTTGCCTTTCTATATAAATTTAAGAATACATTTGTTGATATTCACAAAAGAGCATACTAGGGATTAGCATGCTATTTTTAGGATTAGGATTGTCTTGGATATATAGATCAAATTGGAGAGTATGAACTTAACAATATTTAGTCTTCTAATACATGGTACATCTGTTTGTTCATTTATTAATTTATTTTATGTTTTTAAAATTGTTTTAAGCCTTATTCATATTTAATTGGCAAATAAAAATTGAATATATATTTTATAAATATGTATTTTATATGGCACATATACTGTATACAATGTATATACATAGAGTGTATACAATGTGTTCTATTGGTATATGTATACATTGTGAAATACTTGCCACAAACCAACAGTTTAACATTCATCACCTCACATAGTTATCTTTTCTAAATAATGAGAACATCTAAAATCTACTATGTTAACAAGTTACAAGTATATATTATATTTTTAACAATAGTCACCATGTTGCACATTAGATCCCCAAAACTTATTGGTATCATAAGTGAAAGTTTGTACCCTAAATGGGAAGATAATGGTCTATATTTAATTAAATGTATTGTTTATTTTATCAGTTTTGTTGTTTTCCAAAAGTGGATAATGGGCTTAATTTGTTAGTTTTTAATCTAAGTATTTTATTTTTTGCCAGTGTAAATGATTTTGTGGGGTTTTTTTCCCTTGAGGGTTAGGTTTTTTGTTTGTTTGTTTTGTTTTGTTTTTTCTTTACTTTAAGCTCTAGAATACAAGTGCAGAACTTGCAGGTTTGTTACATAGGTATACATGTGCCATCGTAGTTTGCTGCACCCATCAACCCATCATCTAGGTTTTAAGCCCGGCATGCATTAAGTATTTGTCCTAATGCTCTCTCTCTCCTTGTCCCCCACCCCCTGACAGGCTCAGGTTTGTGATGTTCCTTCCACTCCCCGTGTCCATGTGTTCTTATTGTTCATCTCCCACTTAAGAGTGAGAACATGCAGTGTTTGGTTTTCTATTTCTGTGTTAGTTTGCTGAGAATGATGGTTTCCAGCTTTATCCGTGTACATAATTTCAACTTTTAATTATTCATTGCTGGAGTAAAAAAAAGAAGTTGAATTTTATACATAAACTCTATATCTAATAACCTTACTATGTAGAATTGCTTATTACATCCTGGAGTTTTTAGTTCCTTTCTTTGTTTGGATCTTTTTTTTAAATGTTCTGCATAAACAATCATGCCATCTAAAAACTAAGAAAACTTTATTTCTCTCTCTTAAATCTGTATATATACAGATTTATATATTTAAACATTTATATATATAGACTATATGTATATATACATATATGCAGAGTATATATATATATATACAGACTATATATGTGTGTGTGTGTATATATATATATAGATATATATAGTCTGTATATACATATATTAGGAAAGAACAAAGACCTAAAATCAGTAACCTAAGTTTCCTTTGAATAAAAGTAGAGAAAAAGGGTTATTTACACCTAAAGCAATTACCAAAATTTTAAGAATTAGAACAGAAAGTAATAAAACTGAAAACAGAAAATTGAGAAAAATCAACAAAAATAAAATCTGTTACTTTGAAAATATTAATAAAACTGATAAACATCTATCCAAGCTAATCATGATAAAAAGAGAGAAAGATTAATACCAGAAATGAGAGAGTTGTCATCACTTTTGATTCCATGGACATTAAAATAATAATGAATAAGTTAAAAAACTGTATGCTCAAAAATTTGATAACTTTTTTTTCTATATACTTTAAGTTCTAGGGTACATGTGCACAACGTGCAGGTTTGTTACATAGCTATACATGTGCCATGTTGGTTTGCTCCATTCATTAACTCATCATTTAAATTAGGTATTTCTCCTAATGCTATCCCTCCACCTGCCCCCCACCCCACGACAGGCCCCCGTCTGTGATGTTCCCTGCCCTGTGTCCATGTGTTCTCATTGTTCAATTCCCACCTATGAGTGAGAACATGCAGTATTTGGTTTTCTGTCCTTGTGATAGTTTGCTCAGAATGATGCTTTCCAGCTTCACCCATGTCCCTGCAAAGGACATGAACTCATCCTTTTTTATGGTTTCATAGTATTCCATGGTATATATGTGCCACATTTCTTAATCAAGTCTATCATTGATGGACATTTGGGTTGGTTCCAACTTTTTGCTGTTGTGAATAGTGCCGCATTAAACATATGTGTGCCTGTGTCTTTATAGTAGCATGATTTATAATTCTTTGGGTATATACTCAGTAATGGGACCACTGGGTCAAATGGTATTTCTAGTTCTAGATCCTCGAGGAATTGCCACACTGTCTTCCACAGTGGTTGAACTAGTTTACACTCCCATCAACAGTGTAAAAGTGTTCCTATTTCTCCACATCCTCTCCGGCATCTGTTGTTTCCTGACTTTTTAATGATGGCCTTTCTAAATGGCATGAGATGGTATCTCATTGTGGTTTTGATTTGCATTTCTCTGATGACCAGTGATGATGAGCATTTTTTCATGTGTCTGTTGGCTGCATAAA
Source organism: Homo sapiens (assembly GCF_000001405.40). Lineage (NCBI taxonomy): Eukaryota > Metazoa > Chordata > Mammalia > Primates > Hominidae > Homo > Homo sapiens. The sequence continues at coordinate 79,651,015 of NC_000023.11, forward strand.
TGTCTTCTTTTGAGAAGTGTCTGTTCATAGCCTTTGCCCACTTTTTGATGGGGTTGTTTGTTTTCTCTTGTAAATTTGTTTAAGTTCTTTGTGGATTCTGACCCTTTGTCAGATGGGTAGATGGCAAAAATTTTCTCCCATTCTATAGGTTGTCTGTTCACTCTGATGGAGTGAACAATGAGATACCACAATGAGATACCATCTCATGCCATTTAGAATGGCCATCATTAAAAAGTCAGGAAACAACAGATGCTGGAGAGGATGTGGAGAAATAGGAACACTTTTACACTGTTGGTGGGAGTGTAAACTAGTTCAACCACTGTGGAAGACAGTGTGCCAATTCCTCAAGGATCTAGAACTAGTAGTTTCTTTTGCTGTGCAGAAGCTCTTTAGTTTAATTAGATCCCATTTGTCTATTTTGGCTTTTGTTGCCATTGCTTTTGGTGTTTCACTCATGAAGTCTTTGCCCATGCCTATGTCCTGAATGGTATTGCCTAGGTTTTCTTCTAGGGTTTTTATGATTTTAGGTCCAACATTTAAGTCTTTAATCCATCTTGAATTAATTTTTGTATAAAGTGTAAGGAAAGGATCCAGTTTCAGCTTTCTACATATGGCTAGCCAGTTTTCCCAGCACTGTTTATTAAATAGGGAATCATTTCCCCATTGTCTGTTTTTGTTAGGTTTGTCAAAGATCAGATGGTTGTAGATGTGTGGTGTTATTTCTGAGACCTCTGTTCTGTTCCACTGGTCTACATCTCTGTTTTGGTACCAGTACCATACTTAAAACTTGTAGTATAGTTTGAAGTCAGGTAGCATGATGCCTCCAGCTTTGTTCTTTTTGCTTGGGATTGTTGTGGCTATATGGGCTCTTTTTTGGTTCCATATGAAATTTAAAGTATTTTTTTCCAATTTTGTGAAGAAAGTCATTGGTAGCTTGATGGGGATGGCATTGAATCTATAAATTACCTTAGGCAGTATGGCCATTGTCACGATATTGATTCTTCCTATCCATGAGCATGGAATGTACTTCCATTGTTTGTGTCCTCTTTTATTTTGTTGAGAAGTACTTTGTAATTCTCCTTGAAGAGGTCCTTCACATCCCTTGTAAGTTGAATTCCTAGGTATTTTATTCTCTTTGTAGCAATTGTGAATGGGAGTTACCTCATGATTTGGCTCTTTGTTTGTCTGTTATTGGTGTATAGGAATGCTTCTGATTTTTTCACATTGATTTTGTATCCTGAGACTTTGCTGAAGTTGCTCATCAGCTTAAGGAGATTTTGGGCTGAGATGATGGGGTTTTCTAAATATACAATCATGTCATCTGCAAACAGGGACAATTTGACTTCCTCTTTTCCTAATTGAATACCCTTTAGTTCTTTCTCTTGCCTGATTGCCCTGGCCAGAACTTCCAACACTATGTTGAATAGGAGTGGTGAAAGAAGGCATCCTTGTCTTGTGCCAGTTTTCAAAGGGAGTGCTTCCAGTTTTTGCCCATTCAGTATGATATTGGCTTTGGGGTTGTCATAAACAGCTCTTACTACTTTGAGATACGTTCCATCGATACCTAGTTTATTCAGAGTTTTTAGCATGAAGCGCTGTTGAATTTTGTCAAAGGCCTTTTCTGCATCTATTGAGATAATCATGTGGTTTTTGTCGTTGGTTCCGTTTATGTGATGGATTATGTTTATTGATTTGTGTATGTTGAAACAGCCTTGCATCCCAGGGATGAAGCCGACTTGATCGTGGTGGATAAACTTTTTGATGTGCTGCTGGATTCTTTTTGCCAGTATTTTATTGAGGATTTTTGCATCGATGTTTATCAGGGATATTGGTCTAAAATTCTCTTTTTTTGTTGTGTCTCTTCCAGGTTTTGGTATCAGGATGATGCTGGCCTCATAAAATGAGTTAGGGAGGATTCCCTTTTTTTTCTATTGATTGGAATAGTTTCAGAAGGAATGGTACCAGCTCCTCTTTGTACCTCTGGTAGAATTAGGCTGTGAATCCATCTGGTCCGGGACTTTTTTTGGTGGGTACGCTATTAATTATTGCCTCAATTTCAAAACCTCTTATTGGTCTATTCAGAGATTCAACTTCTTCCTGGTTTAGTCTTGGGAGAGTGTATGTGTCCAGGAATGTGTCCGATTCTTCTAGATTTTCTTGCTTATTTGCACAGAGGTGTTTATAGTATTCTCTGATGGTAGTTTGTATTTCTGTGGGATTGGGGGTGATATCCCCTTCATCATTTTTTATTGCATATATTTGATTTTTCTATCTTTTCTTCTTTATTAGTCTTGCTAGCAGTCTATCAATTTTGTTGATCTTTTCAAAAAACCAGCTCGCTCCTGGATTCATTGATTTTTTGAAGGGATTTTGTGTCTCTATCTCCTTCAGTTCTGCTCTGATCTTAGTTATTTCTTGCCTTCTGCTGACTTTTGAATGTATTTGCTCTTGCTTCTCTAGTTCTTTTAATTGTGTTGTTAGGGTGTTGATTTTAGATCTTTCCTGCTTTCTCTTGTGGGCATTTAGTGCTATAAATTTCCCTCTACACACTGCTTTAAATGTGTCCCAGAGATTCTGGTACGTTGTGTCTGTGTTCTCATTGGTTTCAAAGAACATCTTTATTTCTGCCTTCATTTCATTATTTACCCAGTAGTCACTCAGGAGCAGGTTGCTCAGTTTCCATGTAGTTGTACGGTTTTGAGTGAGTTTCTTAATCCTGATTTCTAATTTGATTGCACTATGGTCTGAGAGACAGTTTGTTGTGATTTCTATTCTTTTACATTTGCTGAGGAGTGCTTTACTTCCAACTATGTGGTCAATTTTGGAATAAGTGCAATGTGGTGCTGAGGAGAATTTATATTCTGTTGATTTGGGATGGAGAGTTCTGTAGATTTATATGAGGTCCACTTGGTGCAGAGCTGAGTTCAAGTCCTGGATATCCTTGTTAACCTTCTGTCTCATTGATCTGTCTAATGTTGACAGTGGGGTGTTAAAGTCTCAAATTATTATTGTGTGGGAGTCTAAGTCTCTTTGTAGGTCTCTAAGGACTTGCTTTATGAATCTGGGTGCTCCTGTATTGGGAGCATTTTTATTTGGGATAGTTAACTCTTCTTGTTGAATTGATCCTTTTACCATTATTTAATGGCCTTTTTTGTCTCTTTTGATCTTTGTTGGTTTAAAGTCTGGTTTATCAGAAACTAGGATTGCAAACCCTGCTTTTTTTTTTTTTTTTTTTTTTTTTTTTTTGCTTTCCATTCGCTTGGTAGATCTTCCTCCATCACTTTATTTTGAGCCTATATGTGTCTCTGCACGTGAGATGGGCCTCCTGAATACAGTACACTGATGGGTCTTGACTCTTTATCCAATTTGCATTCTGTGTCTTTTAATTGGGGCATTTAACCCATTTACATTTAAGTTTAATATTGTTATGTGTGAATTTGATCCTGTCATTATGATGTTAGCTGGTTACTTTGCCCATTAGTTGATGCAGTTTCTTCCTAGCATTGATGGTCTTTACAATTTGGCATGTTTTTGAAGTGGCTGGTACCGGTTGTTCCTTTCCATGTTTAGTGCTTCCTTCAGGAGCTCTTGTAAGGCAGGCCTGGTGGTGACAGTATCTCTCAGCATTTGCTTGCCTGTAAAGCATTTTATTTCTCCTTCACTTATGAAGCTTAGTTTGGCTGGATATGAAATTCTGGGTTGAAAATTCTTTTCTTTAAGAATGTTGAATATTGGACCCCACTCTCTTCTTGCTTGTAGAGTTTCTGTCGAGAGATCTGCTGTTAGTCTGATGGGCTTCCTTTTGTGGGTAACCCGACCTTTCTCTCTGGCTGCCCTTAACATTTTTTCCTTCATTTCCAACTTGGTGAATCTGACGATTATATGTCTTGGGGTTGCTTTTCTTGAGGAGTATCTTTGTGGTGTTCTCTGTATTTCCTGAATTTGAATGTTGACCTGCCTTGCTAGGTTGGGGAAGTTCTCCTGGATAATATCCTGCAGAGTGTTTTCCAACTTGGTTCCATTCTCCCTGTCACTTTTAGGTACTGCCCCTGTCACCAATCAAACGTAGATTTGGTCTTTTCACATAGTCCCATATTTCTTGGAGGCTTTGTTCATTGCTTTTTACTCTTTTTTCTCTAAACTTCTCTTCTCGTTTTATTTCATTAATTTGATCTTCAATCAGTGATACCCTTTCTTCCACTTGATCGAATCAGCTATTGAAGCTTGTGCATGCATCACGTAGTTCTCCTGCCATGGTTTTCAGCTCCATCAGGTCATTTAAGGACTTCTCTACACTGTTTTTTCTAGCTAGCCATTCGTCTAGTCTTTTTCAAGGTTTTTAGCTTGCTTGCAATGGGTTCGAACATCCTTCTTTAGCTGGAAGAAGTTTCTTATTGCTGACCTTCTGAAGCCTACTTCTGTCAGCTTGTCAAAGTCATTCTCCATCCAGCTTTGTTCTGTTGCTGGTGAGAAGCTGTGATCCTTTGGAGGAGAAGTGGTGCTCTGGTTTTTAGAATTTTCAACTTTTCTGCCCTGGTTTCTCCCCATCTTTGTGGTTTTATCTACCTTTGGTCTTTGGTGCTGGTGACCTACAGATGGGGTTTTGATGTGTATGTCCTTTTTGTTGATATTGATGCTATTCCTTTCTGTTTGTTAGTTTTGCTGCTAACAGTCAGGTCCCTCAGCTTCAGGGCTGTTGGAGTTTGCTGGGGTCCACTCCAGACCCTGTTTGCCTGGGTATCACCAGTGGAGGCTGCAGAACAGCAAATACTGCAGAATAGCAAATATTACTGCCTGATCCTTCCTCTGGAAGCTTCTTCCCAGAGGGGCACCTGCCTGTATGAGGTGTCAGTTGGCCCCTACTGGGAGGTGTTTCCCAATTAGGCTACACGGGGTGTCAGGAACCCACTTGAGGAGGCAGTCTGTTCATTCTCAGAGCTCAAACACCATGCTGGGAGAACCACTGCTCTCTTCAAAGCTGTCAGACAGGGACGATTGAATCTGCAGAAGTTTCTGCTGCCCTTTGTTCAGCTATGCCCTGCCCCCAGAGGTGGGGTCTACAGAGGCAGCCAGCCTTGCAGAGCTGCAGTGGGCTCTGCCCAGTTCGAGCTTCCCCAGCTGCTTTGTTTACCTATTCCAGCCTCAGCAATGGCAGACACCCCTCCCCTTGCTAGGCTGCTGCCTCACTGGTTGATCTCAGACTGCTGCATTAGCAGTGAGCAAGGCTCCATGGGCATGTGACCCTCCAAGTCAGGCGTGGGATATAATCTCCTTGTGTGCTCTTTGCACCTTTGAAAAAGTGCAGTATTTGGGTGGGAGTGTCCCAATTTTTCAGATGCCTTCTGTCACGGCTTCCCTTGGCTAGGTAAGGGAAATCCCCCAACCCCTTGTGCTTCCAGAGTGAGGCAATGCCCAACCCTACTTCAGCTCGCCCTCCATGGGCTGCACCCACTGTCCAGCCAGTCCCAATGAGATGAAGCAAGTACCTCAGTTGGAAATGCAGAAATCACCATCTTCTTTGTCAGTCACACTAGGAGCTGCAGACCAGAGCTGTTCCTGTTCAGCCATCTTTGATAACTTTTATGAAATGTTCCAATATGTTGACGGACACAAACTTCCAAAAGCCTACACAAAGGAAAAACAAATAATCTGAATAGGCCTATCGGTATTCAAATATTAAATCCATAATTAATAATCTCACATAATAAAGCACCCTGGCCAAATACTTTCCACTGGTAATTTCTACCAAGCATTTAAGAAAACAATGGTACCAAATCTCTGCAATGTCTTCCAGAAAACAGAAGCAGAAACGATAGTTCCTAATTTATTCTAGAAGGCCAGTATCGTCTTGCTACCAAAAGTAGACAAGGATACCATAAAAAAAAAAAAAAATACAGACCAATTATCTTTTATAAACATGGAGGTAAAATTCTCAATAAAATATTACAACAGCTAATCAAACAATGTTTAAAAAGAATTACATATTATGTCCAAGTAAGATTTCCTTCAGGTATGCAAGGCTGCTTTGAAGTCCAAAACTTATTCATCATATATCTTTTTAAAACCTCTCTGCAGTCTAGAAATAAAAAGGAGCTTCCCCAACATGATAAAGAAAATCTACAAAAAACCAACATGTAATATCAAACTTAATTTTGAGAAACTAGAAGCTGTCCCAATGTAGTCTCATTGGTTTAGTGAGGACTTCTGGTACAATGTTTAAAATGAGTTCTGAAAGGGGACATTCTGGCCCTGTTCCTGTTATTGTAGATTTTACATAATATGTAAGTCTTTTATGGAAGACATTGCAGAGATTTGGTACCATTTTTTTTCCTTTGTGTAGGCTTTTGGAAGTTTGTGTCCGTCGACGTATTGGAACATTTCATAAAAGTTATCAAATTTTTGAGCATATAGTTTTTGAACTTATTCATTATTATTTTAATGTCCATGGGATCAGTAATGATGACAACTCTCTCATTCCTGGTATTAATCTTACTCCTTTTTTATCATGATTATCTTGGATAGATGTTTATCAGTTTTATTAATATTTTCAAAGTAACAGATTTTAATTTTGTTGATTTTTCTCGATTTTCTGTTTTCAGTTTTATTACTTTCTGTTCTAATTCTTAAACTTTTGGTAATTGCTTTAGATGTAAATAACTCTTTTTTCTCTACTTTTATTAAACGGAAACTTAGGTTACTGATTTTAGATCTTTGTTCTTTTCTAATATATACATTCAATGCTGTAAGTGTCCTTCTAAGCACAGATTTTATTGCACCCTACCAATTTGATAAGTTGTAATTTCATTCTAACTTACTTTGAAATAAATTTAAATTTTATTTATACTTTTTTGTTTCATGTATTATTTGGATATGCATACAAATCTCCACCTACTTGGAGAATTTTAAAGCTATTTTTCTGCTATTGATTTCTACATTAATTTCACAGTAGTCTGAGAAAATACCTTGTTTTATTTCTATTCTTTTAAAAATGTTAACGTGTTTTGTAGCACAGAATGTGCTTTATCCTAAGAAATGTTCCATGTGAGCTTGAGAAAAATGTATCTTCTCATTCTGTTGGAATATATGTATATAACTTTAATTTCTGGGATACATGTGCAGAACATGCAGCTTTGTTACATAGGTATACACATGCTATGGTGGCTTGCTAAACCCGTGAACCCATCATCTACACTGGGTATTCTCCTAATGCTATCCCTCCCCTAACCTCCCCCACAACAGGCCCCAGTGTGTGATGTTCCTCTCCCTGTGTCCATATGTTCTCATTGTTCAATTCCCACTTATGAGTGAGAACATGCAGTGTTTGGTTTTCTCTTCCTGTGTTAGTTTGCTGAGAATGACGGTTTCCCGCTTCATCCATGTGCCTGCAAAGGACATGAACTCATCCTTTTTTATGGCTGCATATATTCCATGGTGTATATGTGACACATTTTTTTTTATCCAATCTATCATTGATGGGCATTTGGATTGGTTCCAAGTCTTTGCTGTTGTGAACAGTGCTGGAATAAACACATGTGTGCATGTGTCTTTATAGTAGATAATAAATGCATCAGGCAGAAAATTAGTAATGATATTTTTGACCTGATATATTATGCATCATTCTGTAATATATTTTTAAGTTCCATTTAAATCCATGCAATAAATAGTTATAATCAGGTTGAAAATGTCATTACTAATTTTCTGCCTGCTGCATTTATTATCTACTGAAAGAAGGGTGTGTGTGTTGAAGTCTCCAACTCTAATCATGGATTCGTCTATTTCTCCTTGCCATTTTACTAGTTTTTTCTACATACATTTTAACTCTCTATTATTAAGTGCATACATATTAATGATTGCTATGTCTTCTTGAAAAACTCTTTTATAATTATGTATACCTGTTTTTATCTTTTATAATTTTCTTTTCTCTGGTTTGCTCTGAAATTAATATAGCTACCCTTTCTCTCTCTTTGTTATTGCGAGCATGACATATCTTTCTCTGTTTCTTTACTTTTTAATCTACCAGTGCCATTATATTTAAAGGGAGTTTCTTGAAGACAACATCTTATAAATGTTGGGTCCTTTTTTGCTTTTTGTTTTCATCTACTTTGCCAGTCTCTGTCTTTGATTTAATCTACTTAAACCATTTCATATTTAAAGTGATTATTGATATAGTTGGACTAATGTTTACCATGGCTGTTTTTTAAATTTGCACTATTATTATTTCCACAGATTTTTGGGGAACAGGTGGTGTTTGGTTACGTGGACAAGTTTGTTAGTGGTGATTTCTGAGATTTTAGTGCACCCATCACCCAAGCAGTGTACCCTGTATCCAATGTGCAGTCTTTTATCGCTCATCCCCCTCTCACCCTTTCCCCTGTGTCCCCAAAGTCCATTGTATCATTCTTATGCTTTTGCTTCCTCATAGTTTAGCTACCACATTTGAATGAGGACATACAATGTTTGGTTTTCCATTTCCGAGTGACTTCACCTAGAATAATGAACTCCAATTCCATCCAGGTTGCTGCAAATGCCATTATTTTGTTCCTTTTTATGGCTGAGTATGTATATCTTACATTTTCTTTATCCACTCGTTGATTGATGGGCATCTGGATCTGGGTGGTTCCACATTTTTGTAATTGTGAATGGTGATGCTATAAACGTGTGTGCAAGTATCTTTTTCATAAAATAACTTATTTTCCTCTGGGTAGATACCCAGGAGTGGGATTGCTGGATCAAACGGTAGATCTAGTTTTAGTTATTTAAGGAATCTCCACACTGTTTTCCATAGTGGTTTTACTAGTTTACATTTCCACCAACAGTGTAAACGTGTTTCCTTTTCACCACATCCATGCCAACATCTATTTTTTTTTAATTTTTTGATTATGGCCATTATTGCAGAAGTAAGGTGGTATTGCATTGTGGCTTTAATTTGCAGTTCCCTGATCATTAGTGATGTTGAACATTTTTTTCATGTTTGTAGGTCATTTGTATATCTTCTTTTGAGACTTGTATATTCATGTCCTTAGCCCACGTTTTGATGGGATTGTTTGTTTGTTTGTTTTTCTTGCTTATCTATTTGAGTTCCTTGTAGATTCCGGATATTAGTACTTTGTCAGATATATAGATTGCGAAGATTTTCTCCCACTCTGTGGGTTGTCTGATTACTCTGCTTACTTTTTCTTCTGTGCAGAAGCTTTTTAGTTTAATTAAGTCCCATCTATTTATATTTGTTTTTCTTGTGTTTGCTTTTGGGTTCCTGGTCATGAAGCCTTGGCCTAAGCCAATGTCTAGAAAGGTTTTTCCAATATTATCTACTAAAACTTTTATGGTTTCAGGTCTTAGATTTAAGTCTTTGATCCATCTTGAGTAGATTTTTGTATATGGTGAGAGATGAGGATCCAGATTCATTTGTCTACTTGTGGCTTGACAATTATTACAGCATGATTTGTTGAATAGGGTGTCCTTTTCCCACTTTGTGTTTTTGCTTGCTTTGTCGAATATCAGTTGACTGTAAGTATTTGGCTTTATTTCTGGGATATTAATTCTGTTCCATTAGTCTATACACCTGTTTTTATATCAGTAACATGCTGTTTCAGTGACCATGGTCTTATAGAATAGTTTGAAGTCTGTCAACGTAATGCCTCCACATTTGTTCTATTTGCTTAGTTTTGCTTTGGCTCTGTGGGGCACTTTTTTGGTTCTATATGAATATTATAATTTTTTTAGTTTCTTGAAAAATGATGGTGGTATCTTGATGGGAATTGCATTGAATTTGTAGATAGCTTTTGGCAGTATAGTCATTTTCACAATATTGATTCTACCCATCCATGTGTATGGGATGTGTTTCCATTTGTTTGTGTCATCTATGATTTCTTTCAGCAGTGTTTTGTAGTTTTTCTTGTAGAGGTCAAGTATATTCCCAAGTATTTTATTTCTTCACAGCTATTGTAAAAGGGCTTGTGTTTTTTGATTCTCAGCTTGGTTGCTGTTGGTGTATAGCAGGGCTACTGATTTATGTACATTAAGTTTGCATCCTGAAAGTTTGCTGAATTCATTTATTAGTTCTAGGAGCTTTTAGGATAATCTTTAGGGCTTTCTAGGTATATGATCATGTCATCAGCAAAGAGGAACAGTTTGACTTCCTCTTTACCGATTTGGATGCCTTTATATCATTCTCTTGTCTGATTGCTCAGGCTAGGGCTTCCAGTACTATATTGAAGAGAAATGGTGAAAATGTGCATTTTTGTCTTCCTCCAGTTCTCAGGGGTAATGTTTTCAACTTTTCCCAGGTCAGTATAATGATGTCTGTGTGTTTGTCATAGTTGGCTTTTATTACCTTAAGGTATGTCCCTTCTATGCCAATTTTGCTGAGGGTTTTAGTCATAAAGGGATGCTGGATTTTGTCAAATGCTTTTTCTGAGTCTATTGAGATGATCATGTGATTTTTGTTTTTACTTCTGTTTGTGAGGTGTATCACATTTATTGACTTGCATATGTTAAACCATTCCTGCATTCCTGGTCTCTAACACACTTGATCATGGCAGATTATCTTTTTGGTATGCTATTGGATTCAGTTAGCGAGTAATTTGTTGAGGATTTTTGCATATGTTCATCAGGAATATTATTCTGTAGTTTTATTTTCTGTTATGTCCTTTCTTGTTTTGGGTATTATGGTGATACTGGATTCATAGAATGACTTACAAAAGATTCCTTCTTTCTCTATCTTGTGGAATAGTGTCCATAGTACTGGTACCAATTCTTCTTTGAATGCCTGATAAAATTCATCTGTGAATCCATCTGGTAGTGAACATTTTTTTGTTAGTAATATTTTAATTACCATTTTAATCTTGCTGCTTGTTATTGGTGTGTTCAGAGTTTCTATTTCTTCCTGGTTTAATCTAGAAGTGTTGTATATTTACAGAAATGTATCCATCTCCTCCAGGTTTTCTAGATTATACAAGTAAATGTGTTCATAGTAGCCTGGTATTTTTGTATTAATTGCACACATTCTCTTTTTTATCTTCCCCCTTTTGTGCATTTTCTTGTTTTATTTATACTTTTATATTTTATTTCTCTCCACTTTTGGCATATCAGTTTTATTTATTTTAAATTATTTTGGAGATTGTCAAGAGCTCATAAAACACATTTCTCACTAAGCTATGTGCTTTAAACAATTACTATGCCACTTCACAAGTAGTACAACTAACTTTTAAGAGAATCTCCCTACATTATTTCTCATTTCCTTTATAAAATTATTGTCATTCATTTCACATATTCATATATTAGAATGAATTAATACCTTGTTACTCTTATTACTTTGAACATATAGTTATCTATAACATCAATTTAAAAAATGTTTTATATTTCATCTAATTATTCATCAGTTATATTCTTTATATTGATCTGAGTTTTGACCTATGTCATTTTCTTGTTATTTGAGAGACTTCCTTTAACATTTCTTGCAGGGCATATTTACTGGTGATACATTACCTTGGTTTTTCTTTTTCTGAGAAAAGTACTTGTCCTTCACATTTGGAGGAAAATTTCACTGGATAGAGAATTTTATGTGTGTGTTTTATTCTTTCAACGCTGTAAATATTTCACCATACCCTCTTCATAATTGCATAATTTCTGGTGAAAAATCTGATGTAATTCCTTTATTTGACCTAGAGGTCAACAGCTTTTATTTTTCCTTATTGTATTTTCCAAGATTTCCCCTGTCTTTAATTTTTATCAATTTTATTATTATATGCTTAGGTACTTATATTTAATGTATTTATCCTGATTGGCATTTTATGACCTTTCTGGATCTGTAGTTTATTATTTGTCACTAATTTTGGAAAAGTTTCAGCTTTATTAATTCATTTTTATTTTTCTGCTGCTTTATTTTTCTCTTTTTTTCTCTGGTGTTCCCATTATATATATTTGACACCTTCTTAAATTGCTTTGCAGTTATTAGTTATTCTTTCTCACTTTAATTTTTCTCTTTGCATTTTAGTTTTTTTAAAATTTCTATTGACATGCTTTTAAGCTCCATGATTGTTTTCTTGCCCAACTCCAGTATACTAATATACACACAAAAGACAATCTTCATTTCTGTTACAGTGTTTTTTATTTCTAGCATATTTTATTGAACCTTTCTTACAGTTTCTATCTTTCTACTTACATGACTCATATTTTCTGAGTATGTTTTCTACTTTTTTCATTAGGACTCTAACCAACTGCTTTTCTTTTCTGCAAATTAGCAGAATTTGAAATCCTATTGATGGTACTATAATTCACACTAACTAAAACTATAATTAAAAGTACCTCTGCTTCTGATATGAATATAGACACCAAAGAGAACACAGAATCAAAGAAAACAGACGAACTTTCACTGCTAAAACACAAACTCAATCACAGAAGCAAATCCTCTGGCACAACCATTTCAAAACTCAGTCTCTATGTCTCTTCCACCTTTCTTTATCTTACTCCTCATCCCCAGCCCAGGTGGCAGAATCTCTGAAGATTATGACAATTTAAAGTTGCTATGTATTTGTTCTTTCTTCTGTCATCTGAAATGTGTAGGCAGAGCTTATATCCATCTCTCATAGATCCCCTTACAAATATAACTTGACTTTCAGGTAATACTAAGAAAGCATGACATTCTTTTGCATAGATAATAGAAAAATATTAAATATATTATTAAAGTTCAGTTTAAATGAAAAAATGAGGAGTTATAATTAAAATTAAAATGGTCTATTTATATAATAGATTTGGTATAAGAACTAAAATTAAAATTTGGCACATTTTCTGAAATGAGCACTCAACAATATTAAAAAGCATATTGAATCTATACAATCTAAGCAAATAACAAAGAGAGAATAATATAAGTTCAGAAAAGATTGAATGAAGTTTAAAGCACAACTATCAGAAGGAAGTGTCAAGATGGTCAACTAGCTGCAGCCAGTAAGTGCTGCTCCCACAGAGAGAGAACATGTTTTGACTACAAAACCAAATATTTTCAACAGATCTTTAGAGAGAAAATGCTGTATATGGATGGAAAATAGATGCAGTCACTGGGGCTGAAGGGAGAGGAAGCTGGGAACCCCAAGTGGGGTCCCTGAATGCTATGGCTGGTTCTGGGCTCCTAATGGCACCCAGCGAAGTGAACACAGCTGCAAAGGTGAAGATACACAAAGGAATCTTGTGGTTGAGTAAAAATCTTTTTAGTGCCTATTGCTCTCAAGTGTTATCTACTGAATCAGAGCCCAAACTGCAACACCAAAATCACTACTAATAATCTCCCAAGAAAAACCGAGAACAAGAATTTAACAACAAAGACCATACACATAGAAAATCTCCAGAAAGAACCTTTAGCCCTCCAAAATGAGAAAAAGTAAGCACAAGATCTCTGAAAATTCAAAAAGCAAGAGTGTCCCCTTACCTCTAAATGAGCTTACTAGCTCCCCAGCAATTGTTCTCAACCATTCTGTATTTTCTGAAATGATAGACATGTAATTCAGAATCCAGATGAAGGGAGCTCATCAAGATTGAGGAGAAAGTTGAAACTCAATCCAAGGAACCCAGGCAATCCAGTAAAATAATTCAAGAACTGAAAGACAAAAAAAGATCCAAACTAAACTTCTTGAGCTGAAAAAATTTATGCAATGTTTTTTAATACAATTGAAAATATTAACTGAAGAGTAGATGAAACTGAAGAAATAATCAGAGCTCCAAGACTGGCTTTTTGAATCAAGCCAGACAGAGGAAACTAAAGAATAATTTTTTAAAATGAACAAAACGTCTTAGAAATATTCTTATAAAAGAGAACAAGTGTACAACTCATTGGCATTCCTGAGAGGTAAAGAGAGAAAATAAGCAACTTGGAAAATATGTTTGAGAATATAGTCCCCAATTTTTTTCCAAATCTCACTAGAGAAATTGACATGCAAATCTAAGAAATACGGAGAACTCCAGCCAGACATTATACAAGATGATCATCCCCAAGGCACATAATCTTTGGATTCACCTAGGTCAATGCAAAATAAAAAGTCTTAACGGTAGCTAGAGAGAAGAGACAGACAATTAACCAATAAAACAGACTTTATCCCAGCAAAAATTAAGAAGGACAATGATGGGCATTACAAAATGATAAAGTGTGCAATCAAAGAAGCAATCCTAACTATTCTAAATATATACACACCCAACATTGAGTGACCTAGATTCTTGAAATGGCTTCTTCTTGGCCTCCAAAAAAACACAATAACAGTGGAAGATTTCACCCCACTGACAACATTAGACAGATAATTGAGGCAAATAACTAATAAAGAAACTTTGCACTTAAACTTAACACTTGACCAATTTTAACTAATAGGCATCTACAAAACACCACACTCAACAACCACAGAATACATATTCTTCTCATCTGCACATGGGACATATTCTAAGATCAACCACATGCTTGGCCACAAAGCAAGGCTCAATAAATTAAAAAATATTGAAATTATACCAAGAAAATTATCAGACCACAGTGTAATAAATATAGAAATAAATACCAAGAAGATCTATCAAAAATGACAAAAATACATGGAAATTAAACAGCTTATTTGTGAATAACTCCTGGCTGAATATCAAAATTAGACAGATATTTAAAAATTTGAAATTAATAAACATAAACAGACAATTTACCAAAATGTCTGGGATGTAGCCAAAGCAGTGTTAAGAAGGATGTTTATAGAGCTAAATGTCTTAATGAAGAAGTTAGAAAGATCTCACATTAACAATTTAAATTTGTGCCTAAAGGAACTAGAAATAAATGGAAAAAAACAGTGACAGAGCAAGCAGAAGAAAAATTACTAAAATTAGAGAGAAAGTAATGAAATTGTGTTGCAATAATTTATTTAAAAAACAATGAAATTAAGACTTTGTTCTTCACAAACATAAATAAAATTGGTAAACCATTAGCTAGGTTAACAAAGAAAAAAATAAGGTGATCCAAATAAGCACAATCAGAAATAACAAAGATTAAATTACAACTGATCCCACAGAAATACAAAAGATCCTCATAGAATACTATGAGCAACTCTGTGCACACAAATTAGAAAATATAGAGGAAACAGAAAAATTTGGGGATATGTACCATCTCCCAAGATTGAAACAGGAAGAAATGGAAACTCTGAATAGACCAATATCAAGCTCTGAAATTGAACAAGTAGTAAAAATCCTATCACCCACAAAAAGCCCTGGTCTAAATGGATTTACAGCTGAATTCTACCAGATGTACAAAGAAGGAACCTACTGAAACTATTTTAAAAAAGGAGGAAGAGGGATTCCTCCCTACCTCATTCTATGAAGCCAGCATCAGTGAAATACCAAAATCTGGCAGAGACATAATGAAGAAAGAAAACTTCAAACCAATATCCCCACTAAATATCGACACAAAAATCATTAAGAAAATACTAGCAAACCAAATTCAACAACAGAAAAAAAAGACAATTTATTATAATAAAGTAAGTTTTATTTCTGGGATGCAAGACTGAATTGATACATATCAGTCAATAAATGTGATTCAACACTTTGAAAGCAAAATTATATGATCATCTAAATAGATGCATAAAAAGCTTTTGATAAAATCTAACATCCAATCTTGTTAAAAACCCTCAGCAGACTAGGCACTGAAAAAATATACCTCAAAATAATAAGAGCCATCCATGCCATACATACCCACAGCCAACACCATAGTAAATGGAAAAAGCTAGAAGCATTCTTGTTGAGATCTGGAGAAATGAAAGGATGTCCACTCTTTCCACTCCTGTATAACACAGTGCTGAAAGTCCTAGCCAGAGCAATCCATAAAGAGAAAAAAAATAAAAGGCATCCTAATAGGAAGAGAAGAAGCCAAACTATCTTTCTTTACTTACAGTGTGGTTGTATTCATAGAAAATCCTAAAGATTCTGCCAAAAAGTTCCTAAAATTGATAAATGACTTTATTAAAGTTTCAGGAACAAAGTAAATGTACAAAAATCATTAACATTTCTATGCACCAGCAATATCCAGGCTGAGAGTGAAATCAAGAACACAATCCCACTTAAAATAGACACAGAGAAAATGAAGTGCCAGAAATACAGCTAACCAAGGACATGAAAGATCTACAAAACACCCCTGAAAAAAAATCAGAGATGACACAAATAAATTGAAAAACATTTGATGCTCATGGATTTGAAGAATCAATATCAGAAAAATCGCCATACTGCCCAGAGCAACTTACAAATTCGGTGACATTTCTATAGAACTACCAATGCCATTTTTAGAGACTTAGAGAAACACTATTTTAAACTTTATATGTGATAAGAAAGAGCCCAAATAGCCAAAGCAATCTTAAGAAAAAGGAACAAAGCTAAAGACATCACAATACCCTTCAAACTATACTATAAAGCCATAGTAACAAAAACAGCTGATTATTGATACAAAACAGCCACATAGACCAATGAAACAAAATAGAAAACTCAGAAATAAAGCCACACATCTACAAACATCTGGTCTTCTAGAAGGCTCACAAAACCAACAAATGGGGAAAGAATTATATAATTAATAGATGGTGTTGGGATACCTGGCTAGCCACATGGAAAGTATTGAATCTGGAGTGTAACCTTCCAACATATATAAAAATTTACTCATATGGAGCTTTTTCACAGTAAAAGAAACTGTCAATAGAGAAAACTGATAATGTAAAGAATGGGATAAAATATTCACGAACTATACATCTGACAAACGCCTAATATCTAGAATCTATGGGAAACTAAAACAAATCGTCAAGCAAAAAAACAAATAACACCATTAAAAAGGTGGGCAAAGAACATGAGCAGACACTTCTCAAAAGAAGACATACAAGTGATCAACAAACATATACAAAAATGCTCATCACCACTATTCGCCACAGAAATGCAAATTAAAAGCACAATGACCAAATCATACCAGTCAGAATGGCTATTCTTTTGTTTGGTTTGGTTTTTGAGACCGGGTCTCACTCTTTCACCCAGGTTGGAGTGCAGTGGTGCAATCACAGCTATTCTTATGGCTATTCTTAAAAAGTCAAAAAACAAGGGATACTGGTGAGGCTGTGAAGAAAAGGAAATACTTATGCACTATTGGTGGGAATGTAAAGTAGTCCAGACACTGTGGAAAGTAGCCTGGAAATCTCTCAAAGATCTTAAAACAGAGCTACCGTTTACCCCAGCATCCCATTTTCAAGTTTATACCCACAGGAAAATAAATCATTCTACCCAAAAGACACAAGCACTCATATGTTCATTGCTGATCTACCCAGAATAGCAAAGACATGAAATAAACCCAGGTGCACATCAATGGTAGATTGGATAAAGAAAATATGGCACATGTATACTGTATTTGGGCATTCTTGCATTGCTAGAAACACCTGAGACTTGGTAATTTGTAAGAAAAGAGTTTTAATTGGCTCACAGTTATGCAAGCTGTACAAATATGGTGCCAGCACCTGCTCAGCTTCTGGAGAGGCCTCAGGGAGCTTTTACTCATGGCGGAAGGGGAAGCTGGAGGAGGCACTTTACATGGCAAAAGCAGGTGCAAGAGCAAGCATGGGAGGGGAATTGCCACACTTGACAACAACCACATTTCATGAGAACTCACTCACTGTCAGAGTAAGAACAACATCAAGCCACAAGGGATTCAACACCGTAACCCAAAAACCTCCCATGAGGCCCCACCTCCAACATTGGGCATTACATTTCTACGTAAGACTTGGGTGGAGAAAAATATCCAAGCTATATCACACACCATGGAATACTATCCAGCCACTGCAAAGAATGAAATAATGTCTTCTGCAACAATGGGATGAAACTGGTGTCCATAATCCTAAACAAATTAACACAGGAACAGCCAGCCAAATACTGCACATTCTCACTTATAAGTAGGAGCTAACATTGAACACACATGGACATAAATACATGAACAATAGATACTGTGGACCACTACAGGGTGGAGGAGGAGTGGGTTAAATACCTGTTGAACACTATGCTCACTATCTCGATGAAATCTGTACTCTAAAGCTGTGTATACTGGAATATTCCCATGTAACAAATCTTCATATATACTACATTTATCCTAAATAAAAGTTGAAGAAAAAATACAAAATAAAATACAACTATCAAATTTAAACTATGCTACACAAAGTAAAATACTTTGAATATTGAATAAAATAAATTTTTTAAAGATGAATCAAAAATTATTTCAAAATGCATAGTTAAAAAGACAGAAGAAATGAGAAAAGGCTATGAAAGGATATAGAATATAGACTACCATTTAAATTAGCATAAAGAATATTTAAAGTTGTAGAGAAGTGAGAGATTAATTCAAAACTAGAACTCTAAAATTCAAAGTTATGACAAGAAAACAAATTTTTAAAATATTTCAGGTATTATTGCAATAAGTTTATTATTTTATTGTTTTTTAAAAATTTGTAGTCACATAGTAGGTGTATATATTTATGGGGTACATGAGATGTATTGATACAGACATGCAGTATGAAATAAGCACATCATGGAGAATGGAGTATTCATCCCCTCAAGCATTTAACTTTTGAGTTACAAACAACCCAATAATGTTCTTTAAGTGATTTAAAAATATACAATTAAGTTATTGTTGACTATATTCACCCTATTGTGCTATCATGTAGTTGGTCTTATTCATTGTTTCTATTTTTTTTTTGTACACATTACCAATCCCTACCTTCCACCCAACCCCTCATTACCCTTATCGCCCTTTGGTATCCATCCTTCTACTTTCTATTTCCATGAGTTTAATTGTTTTGATTTTTAGATTCCACAAATAAGGGAGAACATATGAAGTTTGTCTTTCTGTGCCTAACTTATTTCACTTAACTTAATGACCTCCAGTTCCATTCATATTGCTGCAAATGACTGGATCTCATTCATTTTTATGGCTGGATAGTACTCCATTGTGTATACATACCACATCTTCTTTATTTATTATTATTATTATTATTATTATTATTATTATTATTATTGAGACAGAGTCTCACTCTGTCGTCCAGGCTGGAGTGCAGTGGGGCGATCTCAGCTCACTGCAAGCTCTGCCTCCCGGGTTTACGCCATTCTCCTGCCTCAGCCTCCCGAGTAGCTGGGACTACAGGCGCCCACCACCACGCCTGGCTAATTTTTAGTAGAGACGGGGTCTTGATCTCCTGACCTCGTAATCCACCCACCTCAGCCTCCCAAAGTGCTGGGATTACAGGCTTGAGCTTCCGTGCCCGGCTCACATCTTCTTTATCCATTCATCTGTTGATGGACACTTAGGTTGGTTTCAAAGCTTGAATATTGTAAATAGTGCTGCAACAAACATAAAAGTGCAGATATCTCTTTCATATACGAATGTCCTTTTTGTTGGGTATATACGCAGCAGTGAGGTTGGTGGGTCATATAGTAGCTCAATTTTTAGTTTCTTGAGGAATCTCAAAATTGTTCTCCATAGTGGCTGTGCCAATTTACATTCCTACCAACAGTGTACAAGTGTTCCCTTTTCTCCACATCCTCATCAACATTTGTTATTGCCAGTGTTTTGGACATAAGCTATTTTAACCGAGATGAGATGATATCTCATTGTAGTTTCTATTGTTGTTTTGATTTGCATTTCTCTCATGATCAGTGATGTTGAGCACCTTTTCATATGCCTTTTTTCCATTGGTATATCTCCTTTGAGAAATGCCTATTCAAATCTTTTACCCATTTTCTTATCAGATTATTAATTTTTATAAATACTTATAGGGTTGTTTAACCTGCTTATATATTCTGGTGATGAATTCCTTGTCAGATTGGTAGGTTGCAAATATTTTACCCTATTCTGTGTGTTGTCTCTGCACATTGTTTATCGTATCTTTTGCTGTGCAGAAGGTTTTGAACTTGATGTAATCCCATTTGTTCATGTTTGCATTGGTTGCCTGTGCATGTGCAATATTTTTCAAGGGATCTTTGTCCAGACCAATGTCCTGGGGGATTTTCCCCAATGTTTTCTTGTTGTAGTTTTATCACTTGAGGTCATAGATTTAAGTCTTCAATCCGTTTTGATTTGATTTTTGTATATGGCGAGAGATAGGGATCTGGTTTCATTCTTCTGCCTATGGATATCCAGTTTTCCTAGCACAATTTATGGAAGCCTCTATCCACTCTCCAATGAATGCTCCTGGCAACTTTGTCAAAAATGAGTTCACTGTAAGTATGTGGATTTGTTTCTGGATTCTGTTCAATTGGTCTGTGTGTTTATTTTTATGTCAGTACCATGCTGTTTTGGTTACTGTAGCTGTGTAGTATAAGTTGAATTCAGGTAATGTGAGTCCTCCAGTTTAGTTCTCATTGCTAATGACAGCTTTGGCTATTCTGGGTCTTTTGTGGTTTCATATAAATTTTAAGATTTTTTTCTACTGGTATTTTGATAGATATTGTATTGAATCTGTAGATTCTTTTGAGTAGTATGGTCATTTTAACAATATTGACTCTTCCAATCCACGAACATGGATTTCTTTTTATTTTTTGGAACCCTCCTCAATTTCTTTTATCAGCGTCTTATATTATAGAGATCTCTCACTTCTTTGGTAAATTCTTAGGTATTCAATTTTAAGTATGCCTATTGTAAACGGGATTACTTTTATTATTTATTTTTCCTGTTATTCACTGTTGGTATATGGAGATGCTACTGATTTTTGGATGTTGATTTTGCATCCTGGAAATTTACTGAATTTGTTGATCAGTTCTAGTAGTTTTCTTGTGAAGTCTTTAGGTTTTTACAAATATAAAATTATATAGTCTGCAAACAAGGATAATTTGACTTCTTCCTTTCCAATTTTGATGTTCTTTATATCTTTCTATTGTCTGATTGCTCTAACTAGAACTTCCAAAACTATAAAAACCTAGGCAATACCATTCAGGACATAGGCATGGGCAAAGATTTCTTGTCCAAAACACCAAAAGCAATGGCAACAAAAGCCAAAATTGACAAATGGGATCTAATTAAACTAAAGAGCTTCTGCACAGCAAAAGAAACTATCATCAGAGTGAACAGGCAACCTACAGAATGGGAGAAAATTTTTGCAATCTATCCATCTAACAAAGGGCTAATACCCAGAATCTACGAGGAATTAAAACAAATTTACAAGACAAAACAAACAACCCCATCAAAAAGTGGGCAAAGGATATGAACAGACACTTTTCAAAAGAAGGCATTTATGTGGTCAACAAACATATGAAAAAAAGCTCATCATCACTGGTCACTAGAAAAATGCAAATCAAAACCACAATGAGATATTATATCATACCAATTAGAATGACGATCATTAAAAAGTCAGGAAACAACAGATGCTGGCGAGGATGTGGAGAAACAGGAACACTTTTACACTGTTGGGAGTGTAAATTAGTTCAACCACTGTGGAAGACAGTGTGGCGATTCCTCAAGGATCTAGAGCCAGAAATACCATTTGACCCAGCAATCCCATTACTGGATATATACCCAAAGGATTATAAATCATGCTACTATAAAGACACATGCACATGTATGTTTATTGCGGCACTGTTCACAATAGCAAAGACTTGGAACCAACCCAAATGCCCATCAATGACAGACTGAATAAAGAAAATGTGGCAAATATACACCATGGAATACTATGCAGCCATAAAAAGGATGGTTCACATCCTTTGCAGGGACATGGATTAAGCTGAAAACCATCATTCTCAGCAAATTAACATAGGAAGAGAAAACCAAACACCGCATGTTCTCACTCATAAGTGGGAGTTGAACAATGAGAACAAATGGACACAGGGAGGGGAACATCACACACTGGGGCCTGTCAAGTGGTGGGGGGCTAGGGGAGGGATAGCATTAGGAGAAATGCCTAATGTAGATGACGGGTCGATGGGTGCAGCAAACCACCATGGCATGTGTATACCTATGTAACAAACCTGCACATTCTACACATGTATCCCAGAACTTAAAGTATAAAAATAAATAAATAACAGTAGTGACAGTGGGCATCTTTGTCATTTTCCAGATAGAGAAAAGGCTTTCTGTTTTTCCCCATTCAGTATGACACTAGCTATGAGTCTGTCATATATAGCTTTTATTATGTTGAGGTATATTCCTTCTAAAACCACCAGTTTTTTGAGGGTTTTTTTAAATGAAGCGGTGTTGAATTTATCAAATATTTTTTCAGCATCAATTCAAATGATCATATGGTTTTGTCTTTAATTCTGTTGATATGGGGTATCATGTTAATTTATTTGTATATGTTCAACAATCTTTGCATCCCAGGAATAAATCCCTCTTGCTCATGATAAATGATGTTTCTAATGTATTGTTGAATTAGGTTTTCTAGTATTTTGTTGAGGGTAATTGCACTAATACTGATAAAAGGTATTGACTTGTAGTTTTCTATTTGTGATGTATCTTTGTCTGGCTTTGGTATCAAGGCAATACTGGCCTCATACAATTACTTTGGAAATATCCCATCCTTTATTCTTGGAATACTTTCTGTAGAATTATTATTAGTTCCTCTTTTAATGTTTGGTAACATTCAGCAATGAAGTTATTAGGGCCCGGGCTTTTCTAGAATGCTTTTTATTATGGCTTACATTTTATTGGTTTGTTCAAGTTTTGGATTTCTTCCTGGTTCAATCTTGGTAATTTTTATGTATCTAGGAATTTGTCCACTTCTTCTAGATCTTTTAGTTTATTGGTAATAATTCCTCATAGCCATGAATGACCATTTGAATTTCTGCAGTATCAGTTGTATCTTTTCCTTTTGCATTTCCAATTTTATTGTTTGAATGTTCTCTATTTTTTCTTAGTCTGGCTAAAGATTTGTCTATTTTGTTTAACTTTTCAAAAAAACAAATTATTATTTGTTGGATGGTGGTGTTGATGATTCAGTACTGTTTCTTCTATCTCTTCAGTGCCTCTTTCAGTGATATGAAGCTAAAACCAGGTACTGTGAGTGCTCACCTGATTTTGGATCTCATGAAGTTGTCTTTTCGGTGCAGATCATTTTTAACTTGGTGTTCTTATGGGGGAAGGCAATCCATAGAGCTTTCAATTCCGCCATCTTTCTCTACATCTGCCCTACAATAATTTCCATATATGTATATTTTTGTAAAATAAACATGTATCTAAAATGTCTTTTTTTCAAAAAATAAAACATGAAATGGATGCATTGTAGTTGAATAAAAATAAATTACCTAAGTCTAGAATTCTAGATTATAGAAATGAACAACTATGCATTGAAAAATTATAAGGACTCATTTTTGACTTTGAAATATAAAATAATAAATATCATCATATTTTTAAAATATTAGGTTGTCCATTGGGAGAATAACACACACATGCATACTTACACATACAAATATGTGTGTAAATATATATGTGTGTAAATATATATGTGTGTAAATATATATACACACAAATACATATATATATATAATATATTGTTAGAAGAAAGAAACAAATTTTTATGCTTCATGTCATATAAAATAATTATCATAATAAAAAGATTTTTAAAGTGGTGTAAAAGCTCAGTGATAACTTTGAATATAAATGGATTAATTTCCTGTATTATTAGACTGGCTTTAACAAGAAAATTCCATCTACATATTTTTAACAACAACCACAAAAATTATAATAAAGAAAGGGTTACAATGAATGAATGTTTACAGAGAAATTAGGCAAAGCTGAAGCAACTATGAAAATACCAATAGAAGATACAGTAGAAGTCATGAAATAAACTCTAAAATGACTTGAAATCATTATTTATTTATATTGACAGAATATGTAGTTTCTATTCAATGTGAATGTAAAAATTGATTAATATTAGCATTTGCTATTTATATTTAAAATATTGGAAATGAGGAGAGCAAGATAAAATACATTTTTAATGAGAACACTTTCAGTCTTTTTATCTTTAACAGATCCAGAAGACAATATATGGATAATATAATCAATACTGTAAACTTGAGTAATGTAGATAAGGTATATTGGTTAAAGTACATGTCATTATACTATACAAAACCCCAAAGAACAGTAGCTAAAATAATATATTTTTCATTCCATATAACAACATGAATTTCATAAGCAGTGCAGAGGAGGAACAAAGTCCTGTTTTGGATAAATATCCAGGTAGTAAACTTTCCTCTTCTAACTTGTTTCTCTGCTTGATTGAAGCTAGCTCATCATGACTACATTTGCACATTTTATTACAGAGGAGAGGACGAAGAGAAATTGCAGTAGAAGTAGTTTTCTGTGTAAAATATAAGATCAAGGATTTACACACATCACTTGTCTTCATAGCCTATTTGCCAGAACTAAGTTGGATGCCCACAACTGTAAGGAATGGTGGAAAAGTCGGAAGCTGTGCAAAGTAGCTAAACTGGGGGGGGAGTGGGAGTACAGGTTGCCAGTAGGTTCAAAGGAAAATAACACTTCAAGAGAATTGGAAGTCTCTACCACTGAGTGCTTCTCATTTATGAAACTGCTTTATGGCATCTGCATAGGAAATTTTGACAGTTTCTACCAAGTGCCACTAAGACACATAAATATCATAAATATCCAGAAAACATTGAAAAATCACAAACACAGATAACTAACAGTGACATACAATCTGGTGCCAAATTTTGAAGTGAAAGTCATTGTTTCCCTAAGTGTACTATAAAACACTCTTCTAACAGATATTAATATGAATTCTGAGAGAAGAATTGTTCTGTACTCAAGAGTTTGGACAATGTCAGTTTTAATCGATTAAAGAGGTTTATTTACTTTAGAGCTTCTCAGAGTCTTTGCTATACTTACATGTATTATGATTCTGCAAGTTGCAGGGAATATCATATACAATAATTTTCAAACATATTTGACTACACAATTATTTCTATGTCACTGCTGTCAACATTTTTCCAAAATAATGTATCTTCCAAATTAAAAAAATGCTATAAAGCAAATGGAACTAATAAAAAACAAAACAAAACAAATATTCATCTGGGCTTTAAATGTTTTGGCTGAAAAAATGTAGGAAGATGCTTTTTGAAAATTTTATTTTTTCTTACTCAAAGCAATGGGTCTGGACTTCATCAAATGGACAATTCTTTCTGTGTTGCTGAAATATAGTTTTATTTGTGGTGGCTAGAGTACTATTTTAAAAGCTCATTCTTTGTACAAATCTTTCAGATATAATGACTTTAAAAAGCAGAGAAACCAACACCAGTGAAGTAAGTATATTAATATTTTAGGTGGGGGTTGAAGATAGGGAATTGGCACAGTGATTGAATTCTGGGAAAGTATATATAAATTTTTTTTTTTTACCAATCAGACTGAATGTTATTGTTTGTAGGAATCACAGGAAGAACAATAAAAGCAGTGCAGAGTATACCACACTTACCTTGTCTTTTTACCACACTGGAACATGACCTGTGAGATAAAGCAAAGACTTTTGTAGTGTTCCCCTTGATCCTAAGATCTCTTTGCTTCCTAATGCTCTTCTTCTTGACTAGTAATGTAAACATACCTAGTTTCATGGGTAGAGAAATTTGACTCTGGTTAATAACCTAGAGCATAGAATTGACATGTTTGGTGACTTTTTTCTGCCTGTCATTTCTTTACTGAGGCAGTAGAGGCAGAATACCTAACTGTACCAAACTCTAAAAATATTACAGACTTCAGATCTGAAAAAGAGAATCCTCCACCTCCAATACCTATATGGGCCTCTTCTGTAAGTCTGTCTCTGTTTTGCTAGCATGTGCAACAATAGGACTGAGGAGTGGCCAAGGAGAAGCATTAGTTGGGGTGATAAATGGAGCTAGGATATGAGTGTTTAGGTGTAGCTTCATGAAGCCTTTTGCAATGTGTAATAGAGCTAGGGGTGGGAAAAGAAGGAAGACCTGCCAAATATGGAAAAACAGAGGACAGAGGCTAGCTCTCCCAGCAGTGGAACCTCAAGGCATGCTTTAAAGACAATTATAAACTCTAACCTGACTCTTCAATTCAATATAGAAGTGTATTCTTCCAGTTATGATAAGATACCATAATTTAAAAGTTTTTAGGGTTTATTTGTAAGTTTTAGATATTTATACATATAGATTGCCAGCTTTCATTTGAACCCTTGCCTGAGACACTGCCAATGTTAAAGGAAGGTCTCAGGAGAAGAATAGAAATCATATAAAATTCCTTTGAGCAAATGCATTTCTTAAAATATTAATATGTTATCTCACTATAATTGCTATTAAAATCAACAAAATCTGGCATACAGAAATAACAGTGTGGGAGGATTTTACTTTGGATAGGATGCTCATATATTCTAAATAGATTACAAGATAGCTAAAACCTTAAGGATGAGAAGATACTATTTATAGTTACAGAATGAAAAAAACATTCTAGACAAAAGACATAAGTTTTACAAAAGTCCTCGGACCACAGCACAGTCAAATTAAATCTCAAGATTAAAAAATTCACTCAAAACCACACAACTACATGGAAACTGACCAAGCTGTTCCTGAATGGCCTTTGAGTAAATAATGAAATTAAGGCAGAGAACAAGAAGTTATTCGAAACTAATGAGAATAAAGATACAACATACCAGAATTTCTGGGACACAGCTAAAGCAGTGTTAAGAGGGAAATTTATAGCACTAAATGCTCACATCAAAAAGCTAGAAAGATCTCAAGTTAACAAGCTAACATCACAACTAAAAGAACAAGAAAATCAAAAGCAAACAAACCCCAAAGCTAGCATGAGACAAGAAATAATCAAGATCAGACTTGACCTGAAGGAGTCACAGACATTAAAAAAAAAAAAAGAACTTAAAAATCAATGAATCCAGGAGCCATTTTTATTGAAAAAAATAAACTAATAAAATAGACTGCTAGATAGACTAATAAAGAAGGAAAAAAGAGAACATTCAAAAGAACACAATCAGAAATGATCAGAGGGATATCATCACTGATGCCGTAGAAATACATCAACCATCAGAGAATACTATGAACACCTCTATGCACATAAACTAGAAAATCTAGAAATAAATGGATAAATTCTTGGACACATACACTCTCCCAAGACTGAAAGAGAAAGAAATGGAATCTCTGAATAGAACAATAATGAGCTCTGAAACTGAGGCAGGAATAAGTAGCCTACCAACAAGTGTATTAAGATAAACAACTGAATTCTACCAGAGGCACAAAGATGGGCTGGTACCATTCCTACTCAAAGTATTCCAATAAACTAAAAAAGAGAGACTCCTTTCTAACTCTTTCTATGAGGCCAGTATCATCCTGATTCCAAAACCTAGCAGAGATACAACAAAAAGAAAAAAACTTCAGGCCAATATCCTTGATAAACACTGATGCAAAAATCCTCAAGAAAATACTGGCAAAGTGAATTTAGCAGCACATTAAGAAACTTATCCACCAAGGTCAGTAAGTTTCATCCTCGGGATGCAAGGTTGGTTCAACACACTCAAATCAATCAATGTGCTTCATCATATTAACATACCTAGAGACCAAAACCACATGATTATCTCAATAGATGCAAAGAAGAAAACTTTTGAGAAATTTCAACATCCCTTCATGTTAAAAGCTCTCAGTAAACTAGGTATTGAAGAAACATACATAAAAATAATAACAGCCATATATGAAAAACCCACAGCCAACATTATACTGTACTGTCAAAAGTTGGAAGAATTCCCCTTGAAAACTGTCACAAGACAAGGATGCCCTCTCTCACCACTCCTATTCAACATAATTTTGGAAGTTTTGGCCATGGCAATCAGGCAAGAGAAAGAAATAAAGAGTATTCAAATAGGAAGAGAGAAAATAAAACTATCTTTGTTTGCAAATTACATGATCCTATATCTAGAAATCCCCATTGTCTCAGCTCCAAACCTTCTTAAGCTGTTAAGCAACTTCAGAAAAGTCTCAAGATACAAAATCAATGAGAAAAAAAATGCTAGCATTTCTACACACCAACAACAGGCAAGCCAAGAGCCAAATCACAAATGAACTTCCAATCAAAACTGCCACAAAAAGAATAAAATACCTAGGAATATAGCTAAAAAGGGAAGTGAAGGACCTCTTTAAGGAGAACTACAAACCACTGCTCAAAGAAATCAGAGAAGACACAAACGGAAAAATATTCCATTTATAATGTCAATATAGGAAAAATCAATATTATTAAAAATCAACATTGCAAAAAATCAATATTGTTAAAATGGCCATGGACATACTGCCCAAAGCAATTTATACATTCAATGCTATTCTTATTAAACTACTATTGACATTCTTCACAGAATTAAAAAAAAAATATTTAAACATTCATATGAAACCAAAAAAGTGCCGAAATAGCCAAAGAAATCCTAAGCAAAAAGAACAAAGCTGGAGGGATCATGCTACCCAACTTCAAACTATACTACAGGGCTACAGTAATCTACGCAGCCTGGCACTAGTACAAGAGCAGACACATAGACCAGTGGAACAGAATAGAGAACCCATAAATAAGACTGCACACCTACAACCATCTAATCATTGACAAACCTGACAAAAACAATCAATGACAACAAAATTCCCTATTCAATAAATGGTGCTGAGAGAACAGGCTAGCCATATGCAGAACATATAATCTGGACCCTTTCCTTAAACCATATACAAAAATCAACTCAAAATGGATTAAAGATTTACATGTAAAATTTAAAACTATAAGAACTCTGGAAGAAAACCTAGGCAATAGCATTCAGGAGATAGGCATGGACAAATATTTCATGATTAAGATGGCAAAAGCAATTGCATCAAAAGCAAAAATTGACAAATAAGATCTAATTAAACTAAAGAGCTTCTGCACAGCAAAAGAAAATATCAATAAACAACCTACAGAATAAGAGAGAATTATTGCAGTCTATCTATCTGACGAAGTTCTAATATCTAGCATCTATAAGGAACTTAAACAAATTTACAAGAAGAAAAAACCAACTTCATTAAAACGTGTGCAAAAGAAATGAACAGACATTTTCAAAAGAAGACATACGTGCTGCTGACAAACATATAGAAAAAAAGCTGAATATCACTGATTATTATTAAAATGCCAATCAACACTACAATGAGATATCATCTCACACCTGTCAGAATGACTATTATTAAAAACTCATAAAACAACAGATGTTGGCAAGATTGTCAAAAAAAGAGAAATGCTTCTACAATGTTGGTGGGAGTGTAAATTAGTTCAACCATTGTGGAAGACAGTGTGGTGATTACTCAAAGACCTAGAGGCAGAAATACCATTTGACCCAGCAATCCCATTACTGATTATATACCCAAAGGAATAGAAATCATTCTATTATAAAGATACATGCATGTGTATGTTCACTGTAGCATTATTCAAAATAGCAAAGTCCTGGAATCTACCTAAATGCTCATCAATGAAAGACTGGATAAAGAAAATGGGGTATATATATATCATGGTATACTTTGCAGCCATAAGGAGGAATGAAATCATGTCCCGTGTAGGCACATGGATGAATCTGTAGGCCATTATCCTTAGCAAACTAACACAGAAACAGAAAACAATATGCCCTGTGTTCTCACTTATATGTGGAAGCTGAATGATGAGAACACATGGACACATGGTGGGGAGCAACACACACTGGGGCCTGTTGGAGGGTGGAGGATGGGAGAAGGGATAACATTAGAAAGAATAGCTAATAAATGCTGGGCTTAATACCTAGGGATGGAATGATCTTTGTAGCAAACCACTATGGCATACATTTACCTATGTAACAAATCTACACATCCTGCACATGTACCCCTGAACTTAAAATAAAATTTAGAAATAAAAAAAGAAATGATTTACATATTAAAATATACTATGGATTTTTAAATGCCAGAAATTTAATACTTTTTTTAATTTGAGAATTTTTCAATATTTCTTTTATATATTAGGTTAATTTTCTAATCTAGATGATTGTTAGAATACTAAATATTTCCTTTATAAGTTCTAATTTGTTGCCATGGGTTTTCCATACTTTAATTTTGCAATTCTTCTTACTATTTTTTTAAAAAGTTGATAAATAATATTTGTACAAGTTTATGGAGTATATGTGATATTTGATACATACCTGCAATATATAATGATCAAATCAGGGTATATAGGATATTCATAACCTTGAAAATGAACCATTTCTTTGTGTTGGAAATATTTCAAATATATTCTAGTTATTTGGAAACATACAATATATTATTGTATATTAACTATAGTTATCCTATTAACTATTAATTATTAACTATTAACCACAGTTAACTATTAACTATAGTCACCCTACTGTGCTATCAAACACTAGAAATATTTCCTTCTACCTAACTGTATGTTTCTCTCTCACTGCTGAGGTTATATTGCTTTTCTCATTACTAATCTTGTATAATTTTGTATTCTCTCTCTTTTAAAAATTATTTAGTGGCTTATCTATTTTAATTACTTTAATCATAGTAATAGCTTTTTGTTTTAATCATTCTTCTGTTTTTGAAATCTCATTTTTGCCTCATTCTCATGCTAAGAGAAAAGAGAGTGAATAAAAGCATTTGTATGTATATATACAAATGATTACTATACAGAAATGAAAATTAATGAACTGTATCCTGGGCCACTAAATGTAGCTCACAGCATTAATTTATCTTCAAAAAGAAATCTTAATTTATTAAATGTAACATTAAACTTATTTTTTTCATTTTTAATTTGTGTGGGAACATAGATGTATATATTTATTGGGTACATGAGATATTTTGATACAATAATGTAATGCACAAAAATCAGGTCAGGGAAAATGGAGTAACCATCACCTCAAGCATTTATCTTTTCTGTTATAAGCAACCCAAATACACTCTTTTAATTATTTTTAAATGTGTAATTAAATGATCATTGACTATGATCATACTGTTGTGCTATCAAATAATAGTTCTTATTTATTGCTTCTAAATACTTTTTGCAGCCATTAAGCATCCTTACTCCTCCTCCTCACTGCCTCTAGTAAAAGTTATTCTACTTTCTGTCTAGATGAGTTCAATTGTTTTAATTTTTGCCTCCCACCAATAAGTGAGAACATGCAAAGTTTGTCTTTCTGTGCCTGGCTTATTTTACTTAATGTAATGATCTCCAATTTAGTCAATGTTGCTCTAAATTACTACATGACATTCTCTTTTATGGATAAATAGTACTCCATGGTGTAGATGCACCATATTTTCTTTATACATTCATCTGTTGATGGACACTCAGGTTGCTAGCAAATATTTGCTATTGTGAATAGTGCTACAATAAACATGGCAGTGCAGATACCACTTCCATATACTAATTTATTTTCTTTTGGATACATACCTAGGAGTGGTACTGCTGGATTATATGGTAATTAAATTTTTAGTTTTTTTGAGAAACTTCCTAAATATTGTTCATAGTGGTTGTACCAATTTACAATCCCATTGATATGGTTTGGGCTGTGTTCCCACCCAAATCCCATCTTGAAATATAGTTCCCATAATCCCTACAGGAGAATTATGTCATGGGAGGGACCTGGTGGGAGGTAATTGAATCATGGGTGTGGGTTTTTCCTGTTCTATTCTTGTGATAGTAAATAAGTCCCACAAGATTTGATGATTTTATAAAGGGCAGTTGCCCTGCACGTGCTCTCTTGGCTACCACCATGTAAGACATGCCTTTGCTACTCCTTTGCCTTCTTCCATGATTGTGAGGCCTCTCCATCCATGTGAAACCTGGACTCCATTAAATCTCTTTTTCTTTATAAATTACCCAGTGTCGGGTATGTCTTTATTAGCAGTATGAGAACATATGAATGCAGTAAATTGGTGCCAGTGATACAGGAGATAAAAAGAAATTATTTAGGCAGATAGTGAGGGCAAAAGAGTCCTCAGCAGAACTTCCCTTCTAATAAAAAGCAGCTCAATAAATCACTTCTTGTCTGACAAAGCACAGCCTGAAAAGATCGTGCTGCAAACATAGATAAGGAAGCTGGAAGTTTGCACAGGGGGATGCCAGCAGCTGCACAGATAGAAAGAGCTACCTGGGGCCAGGCATGTCCACGATGGGGGTTCCACCTCCCATCTTTTTTTAGCACATGCACAGTAAGAACGAAATAAGGAACATGGAGTTGCTACTCATCTGCATAATAAAAGATTGGGGTGGGGCCTGCCAGAGATTTATGCCCTATGCAGATGGCACACCTGGTCCTAACCAGTTTTTTTCACCCTATGTAGATCAGATACCACCTTCCCACTAGCTCCTCTATAAAAAAAAAAACCTTGCATTTCACTACGCATCAGTAACCAATTTTTCTGGAAACTCTCTCTGCAGCAGATAGCTATTACCTTTCTTTTGCCTATTAAAATTCTGCTTTAAACCTCAACCTCTGTGTGTGTTCTCTTCCTTGATCTCCGTAGCCATGAGATCAAGAACCTCAGGTGTCACCCCAGAAAATGAGGCCATATTACCAGGTAGTAGGATGCTGCTTTAAAGATACTCAAAAATGTGAAAGCAACTTTGGAACTGGGTAACAGGCAGAGGTTGGAACAGTTTGGAGGGATCAGAAAAAGATAGGAAAATGTGGGAAAGTATGAAACTTCCTAGACTTGTTGAATGGCTTTGACCAAAATGCTGATAGCAATATAAACAATGAAATCCAGGCTGATGTGGGTACAGATGGAGATGAGGAACTTTTTGGGAACTGGAGCAAAGGTGACTCTTGTTATGCTTTAGCAAAGAGACTGGTGGCATTTTGTCTCTCTCCTAGAGATCTGTGGAACTTTGAACTTGAGAGAGATGATTTAGGGTATCCAGAAAAAAAAAATTCTAAGTGGCAAAGAGTTCAAGAGGAAGCAGAGCATAAACATAGGGAAAATTTGCAGCCTGACAATGCAATAGAAAAGAAAAACTCATCTTCTGGGGAGAAATTCAATCCTACTGCAGAAATTTGCATAATTAACAAGGAGCCGAATGTTAATCACCAAGTCAACAAGGAAACTGTCTCCAAGAAATGTCGGAGACATTTGAGGCAGCCCCTGCCATCACAGGCCCTGAGGCCTAGGAGGAAAACTTGGTTTCATAGGTCAGGCCCAGGGCCCCCCTGTTGTGTGTAGCCTAGGGACTTGGCACCCTGCATCCCAGATGTTCCAGCTCTAGGTAAAAGGGACCAAGGTATTGCTTGGACCATGGCTTCAGATGGTGCAAGCCCCAAGCCTCTCTGCCATTTAAATGTCTTTTTTTAAAGAAATGTTTATTCAGATTTTTTGCTGAATATCAGATTATTAGAGTTTTTCTATGAAGTTGTTTCAGCTCCTTATACATACTGGTTATTAATACCTTATTAAATCAGTAGTTAGCAAATATTTTCTCCCATACTCTGAGTTTTCTTTTCATTTTGTTTATTGTTTTCCTTGCTTTACAGAAGCTTTTTAACTTCATGTGATCTCATTTGTTCATTTTTGCTTTGGTTGCCTATGCTTGTGGGGTATTCTTCAAGAAATATTTGCCCACTCCAATGTTTTGGAGAGTTTCACCAATGTTTTCTTTCAGAAATTTTATAGTTTGATATTCTAGATTTAAGTCCTTAATCATTTTTTTCTTTGTGTATATTTATGCAGAGAGAGTTCTAATTTCATTCTTCTGCATAGCTATAGATATAGATAGATAAATAGATCTCTTTATATACATATATATAAGATATATCCATATAGACATAGATATATTTCCTCAATGCATGTTCTTGACATCTTTGTTGAAAATGAGTCCCCTGTAGGTGTGTGGATTACTTTCTGGGTTCTCTATTCTGTTTCATTGGACTATTTGTCTGTTTTTTATGCCAGTACCATGCCAATTTCGTTACTATATTTCTGTAGTATAATTGAAAGTTATGTAGTATAATTTCTCGAGTTTTGTAAATTTTTCTCGTGATAGCTTTGACTATTCTAGGTCTTTTGTGGTTCCATATAATTTTTTGGATTTTTTTTTTAGTTTCTGTGAAGAATGTCATTTGTATTTTGATAGGAACATCATTGAATTTCTAGATTACTTTGTGCAGTATGGACATTTTAACAATATTTATTCTTCCAATTTATAAATATGAAATATCTTTTCAAGTTGTGTGTCTTTTTCAATTATTTAATTAATGTTTTATGGTTTGCATTCTAGAAATCTCTTACTTTTGTGGTTAATTCCCATGTGTTTTATTTTATTTGTAGCTATTGTAAATGGGATTAATTTCTTAATTTTTTTCAGATTGTTCACTGTTGGCATATAAAAATTCTGCTAATTTTTATGTTGATTTTGTATCTTTCACGTTTTCTGAATTTGTTTATCCATTTGAATTGTTTTTTGATGGAGTCTTCAGATTTTTCCAAATATAAGGTTTTACCATCTGCTTTTCTTGGATATGATTCAGAAGAATTCTCTGGATTATCAGTCGAAGACTCTTGTTCTCTTCCCTTGCTTTTTTTGGAATCTCTCTCTGTCTCTCTCTCTCTCTCTCTCTCTCTCTCTCATTCTGTGTGTGTGTGTGTGTGTGTGTGTGTGTGTGTGCGCTGAGCCGCCTGGAAGTGGTAGTGAGGTGATACAAGCAGCCCTGTGACCACCACCATTGAGACTGTCCTTATTCAGACTTGAAGGTAGCACATCACTGGGTCTTCCCCAAGACTCACAGTAACCACTACCTGGCTATGGCCTATATTTACTCAAGGACCTATGACTGTATAATCAGCAGGTGGCAAAGCCAGCCAGTCTTGTGTCCCTCCCTTCAGGGCAGCACAATTCATCCAGGCCGCAGGCAGCTCCAAAGATGCCATCCAGGATCCAGGAACAGAAGTCAAAAACCTTTGAAATCTACCCAGTGCCCTATTTCTGCTGTGGCTAAGCTGGCACTCAAACCTCAAGACTAAGTCTTTCTCACTCATTTTTCCCTTTTTTACAGGCATAGGAGCCTCTTTCAATGGCTGCCACCACCAAAGACCCATGGTGAGTATTCCCTGGCTACTGCTAATATTCACTTAAGGCCCAAGGACTCGTTATTCAGCTTGTGGATAATGCTGCCAGGCCTGGGATGCATTAGTCAGGGCAGTGCACACCCATCTGGAACAGGGCATGTCCAGAAATGCCATCCAAGAGACAAGGCCTGGAATTGGGAACCCCAAGAGCCTGCTTAGTTCTCTACCACTGTGACAGAGCTGGTACCTGAAGTCAGCACCTTTCAACATCTCACTCAAGGCCCACAGAATTCTACTTGAGTATTCCTGCTGATACTTTAGAGTCCAAAGGCTCTTTATTCATGAGGTGATGAATCCTGCTAGGACTAGGTTCTTTCTCTCAAGGCAGCAGATTTTCTTCTAGCCCAGGGTGTGTCTGGGTATATTCTTCAGGATGGAGGCCCTGGAAAGTGGGCCTCACAGCTCTGCTGGTGCCTTCTACTACTATGGCTGAGCTGGTATACAAGATGCAGGACAAATTCCTCTTTACTTTTCTCTCTTCTTTCATCAGGTTAAAGAAAGTGTCACTTTTGTTGCTGCTAGCTGTTCTGCCTAGAGTTTGGGGAGGGTTGGCATAAACACTGCTTTAGCTTCCTTGGCTCTTGCCTTAATAAGTTATGTGTCCCCATCCCCACATTGGCTGGCTCTGAGCCCAGTACACACTAAGGCATGCCTAGGAATTGCAGTCCTTGTGTCCTAGACTGCCTTTAAAGTTTACTCAGAGCCCCAGCGAGACTTAGTTCACAGTGGTGAGGTTTTCCAAAGCTCAATTTCTGACCACTGGGATGGACAATTTTCCTTCAGCTGGGGCTTGTCTAAGTGCTCCCTCTGTGTATGTTTGTCAACTGTGTAATTAGTTGTATAATTATCTTGTGAAGTCAAGTTACTTTGTATTTTTAGACAATAGTTGAAAAACAACATATGGAAGATGTGATCTTTAAAAGTTCTTCTTCCAGCTTACATTTGTTTCAGTATGACCTTAATTTGTTTTCTGTATAATAAAAAATATTTTGTGCTGTTACTTGTTTTCTTAATTATATAACATTTTATCAGAGTTATCTTTGTCCTGTTGGAAATATATATAAAACAGGTCTAGGGAAACGCAGCTGGTTAGAATGCAAAACCCTTTTACAACAGAGAAACGTCGCTATAGACCTGCATTTTGTGAGCACACGGCCTTCATGCTAAATCCTGCACTTTTTTCTTAGTTAATTTCACTTGTACCTTGGCGACTATTATGCAGAATGATCCATACACTTAAAATTTTTCATTTAATTGCCATGGAAATTTGATAATTTTATCTTAAAAACGGGTTGAAGAAAACTCAGGAAGAGCTCTGATTACTGACAACTGGAAAAAAAATCTTGATTAAAGCACTTCCCCCATGAAAATAGGACCTCTTGAACTTTGGAAGAGCTGATTACTGAAGGCCATTCTTTGAGGAATGCATAACCGTACCTTATAATTTTTCAGAAATATTCAAGTGAAAAAGTGGAGACGTCAAAACAGACCTTTAACAGTGTAATTTAGTGAAACGTTGGCAATAGCTTATTTCAGTTCCTCTCTAAAATAAAGTGCCAAAATATGCAAACTACTTTTCAAAACGATGGTAGTTTGTAAGAAATGTCTGTTAGCTGTCATCACCAATAAAGCTTACCATGGGAAAAAAATTAACCTGGAGAATCACAGAAGATTCATTGTTCTCTTTTTAAGAGGCATAGTGTATATTAATCATTGGGAATCCGGTGGCTTTCTTTGTTCCACTTTTAATTATTTAAAACATCATAGCTTCAATAATTGCATGATTATTCATCATTACTACACATATCACTAAATTTAGCTTTAAAGGTCTTTCAATATTGACTTAGTATTATAAACTCGTTTTTCATATGACACAGAAAATATTTACCTATTGCAATTTTTTGCTAAGGTCTTAATTTTGAAATGACCAAATCAATTTTATTTTATTTAAAATGTCTTGTCTGTGCTTTATAGGGCAATACAAATACAATAAATAAGCACCTGTAATGCCTGGAGTCATTTTAGATGCTGGTGCCATGGGTTAAACCTGTGCTTGAAATATGTTTCTTAATTTCAGCATCTGGCATGAGTGACAGGAAAATTTTCTGTCTCAATAACAACTATATGATTTTTCACCATTTTATTTCCAGAAAATTGGAAGCTCTACACTATTCTCATCAAAATTAATAAATAAATATAGGTATTAACATTTTATACTATAAACATTTAGTGTGCAAATTATGGACACTTTAATACTGTTTGAATATATTACAGTTGCTATTGACTCCAGATCCTCAATAAGTTGAAAGTATTGTTGTGTAAATCCAGTCTTGGTGGGCAATTCAGGGACAGAAATGGCAGTACAATCCATGGTTTGCTTTCACATTGCCAGTCGACATGGATTTCTAAAAGGTTTTGAAAATTATGTTGGAACATGCAACTAATAGTGTACACAATACTTCTAGAGCTAATTGAGCAATTATGTATTTGAACCAAGAATAATCCTATTGGAGAAGCTAATTTAAGAAGACTCTAAGAGTGTTTTTCTTTTACCCTGTGATATCAGAAACCATGTGCCTATCCAAGACGATAAAAAGAAAGCTTAGATTCATAGAACCTTAAACTTGGAAGGGATCCTAGAAGTGGAACCCATGTTCCGTTCTTTTTATGACATCTGTCAACAAAAAGAGTCAAACCCTGTAAAATATTTGAAGAGATTTATTCTGAGCCAAATATGAGTGACCATAGCTTGTGACACAGCCCTCAGGAGATTCTGAGAACATGTGCCCCAGGTCATTGGGGAGCAGTCTGGTTTTATACAATTTAGGGAGACATGAGGCATCAATCAAATACATTTAAGATATACATTGGTTTGGTCCAGAAAGGCAGAACACCTCAAAGCAGGGGGGTTTCCAGGTTATAGGTAGATTTAAATTTTTTGTAACTGGCAATTGTTTGAAAGAGCTATCAATAGAAAGGAATGTCTGAGTTTCAATAAAGAGGTTGTGGAGAACAAAATTTTCTCATCCAGGTGAAGCCTCCTTGTAGCAGGCTTCAGAGAGAATAGATTGTAAATGTTTCTTATAAGACTTAACGTCTGTGTTGATGTTAAATGCTGGTTGGCTTTTTCTAAATTCCAAAAGGGGGGAGGACATAATGAGGCATACCCTACCCCCATTTCCAACCATGACCTAAACCAGTCTTTCAAGTTAAATTTTAGAGTGCCCTAGCAGAGGAGGGAGTCCATTCAGATGGTTGCAGGGGGTCTTTAAATTTTATTTTTAGTTTACACATCTCTAACAGATGATCATAGCTCTACTTGAATATTACCCAAGGAAATGCATGAAGATTTAGAATTTCCTCAAGAATGGAACCTAATCTGTTTTCTAGTAAGTTTTACCGAATTTATACTAGTGTTCAGATCCAGAATAAAAATAAATATTACCCTCTTCCACAAGATAGTTCTTTAAATGTTTGGAGAAAGATATTGTGTCCCTGAATCCACTCTTCTCCAGCCTATATATTCCAGGATCCTTCAAACTTTTCTCCTATGAACTTCTGTCCAATTTGTGATCCTGATCACTCCGTAAGATATACCAATTTGTCACTGCTGCTTTTGAAACATGGTCTAAAAACTAAATGCTCCCCTTCAAACACAGACACTGCATTGCAGATTTTTTTATTCATTAGGTTTCAATGTCAAACTATGCTGTCATACTGTCATTGTATTCTAATTCCATATGACTAGCTTTTATGCAACACTGTTTCTGCCATTTTTATGATATTCAGCAATGTTAACTTAGTAAAAAAAACACACACACACACAAAAATTAATTATTTTATCTTTACAGGAAAGAACTGCTGAAGTTCAAAGATGGTATTAGAAAAGCAGACACCCTCTTAGAAAACCAGACAACCTCTTATCCTAATCCCACGGCAGTGGGAGTAGATAGAGAAAAGTAAAATTTGGAGAAAAAGGCCAACTTCTGGTAAAGTTTCTGATAACTACAGATCCATATTTCAGCTTATGTAAGAATAGCGACTGGATTCTTTAAATGATTTTTAGCCACTTGAAGTTAGGAAGAATAAGTGATATTTGATTAGGAGGTGTCCAAGGTAGTGGAAATAGCAAGATAAAAGGTAATAAGTACATTATCATGTACACTGAAGACATAATTTGGTTGGAAAAAGAGTCTAAATGAAAAAGTCACAAGTAACATGACCAGAAAGAGTATTTGAGAGCAGGTTGTAGACTCTATTGAAAGAAAATCATAAAAGAATATTTAAAGATTTTGGACAACTACTTTTGCATAAAGAGGCCCACAGTTTTTATTTTTTTAGATCCAGCAATTAAAAAAAAATCTTGTTGCTGAGGGGGAATAATATTAACTCTATATTTTACCCATTACATTTTGTTGTTGTTGTTGTTGTTATTGTTGTTTTCCTTTTCTCTTTGGTCAAGTCCCTCACAGACTTGCCAAAAAAAAAAAAAAAAAAGAGCCTTTCCTCTTCTTTTCTACACCTTTTGAACAGTAGTTACAACTCATAGTTCTGCACTAAGAGAAGAAAATATGAGTAAAACAGGCAAAATTCAAATGACAAGAGAAGAGGAACACAGCACTTTTATCTGCTAAGTTAAATGTACATATTTTATAAAGGTCATTGACTCATTGAACAGAAAAGGAGCAAAATGACAAAAGAGATAATAAAAACAAAGCCCAGATATATTAATGACTTGCTCAAATCAGATAGTTGCTAAGAGAGGGTGGCTAAAAGTGAAGGTGTCTGGGTTCAGTACCCTTTGAATTACATAAGACTGACTCCTCTTGATGCAGACATACAGACATGGCAAAATAAGCTTAAAGATATAACAAAATTCTCACAAGAATTCAAACTTCACTGTTTCCTTTATCTTTCCTTATATGATGTTCTTCTTTTTTATTACACTTTAATTTCTGGGATACATGTGCAGAACGTGCAGGTTTGTTGCATAGGTATACACATGCCATCGTGGTTTGCTGCACCCATCAAACCATCATCTACATTAGGTATTTCTTCTAATGCTATCCCTTTGCAGCCCCCTACCCTGCACCAGGCCCGGGTGTGTGATGTTCCCCTCCCTGTGTCCATATGTTCTCATTGTTCAACTCCCACATATGAGTGAGAACATGCAGTGTTTGGTTTTCTCTTCCTGTGTTAGTTTGCTGAGAATGATGGTTTCCTGCTTCATCCATGCCCCTACAGAGGACATGAATTCATCCTGTTTTATGGCTGCACAGTATTCCATGGTGTATATGTGCCACATTTTCTTTATCCAGTCTATCATTGATGGACATTTGGATTAGTTCCAAGTCTTTCCTATTGCGAACAGTGCTGCAATAAACATACATGTGCATGTGTCTTTATAGGAGAATGATTTATAATCCTTTGGGTATATACCCAGTAATGGGATTGCTGGGTCAAATGGTATTTCTGGTTCTAGATTCTTGAGGAATCGCCACACTGTCTTCCACAATGGTTGAACTAGTGTACACTCCAACCAAAAGTGTAAAAGTGTTTGTATTTCTCCACATCTTCTCCAGCATCTGTTGTTTCATAACTTTTTAATGATCGCTATTTTAACTGGCATGAGATGGTATCTCATTGTGGTTTTGATTTGCATTTCTCTAATGACCAGTGATGATGAGCTTTTTTTCATATGTTTGTTGGCTGCATAAATGTCTTCTTTTGAGAATTGTCTGTTCATATCCTTCACCCACTTTTTTATGCATTTTTTTCTTGTAAATTTGTTGAAGTTCTTTGCAGATTTTGGATATTAGCCCTTCATCAGATGGATAGATTGCAAAAATTTTCTCCCATTCTGTAGGTTGCCTGTTCACTCTGATGATAGTTTGTTTTGCTGAGCAGAAGCTCTTTAGTTTAATTAGGTCTGATTTGTCAATTTTGGCTTTTGTTGCCATTGCTTTTGGTGTTTTAGTCATGAAGACTGTGCCCATGCCTATGTCCTGAATGGTAATGCCTGGGTTTTCTTCTAAGGCTTTTATTGTTTTAGGTCTTACATATAAGTCTTTAATCCATCTGGAGTTAATTTTTGTATAAAGTGTAAGGAAGGGGTCCAATTTCAGTTTTCTGCATATGGCTAGCCAGTTTTCCCAACACCATTTATTAAACAGGGAATCCTTTCCCCATTGCTTGTTTTGGTCAGGTTTGTCAAAGATCAGATGGCTGTAGATGTGTGGTGTTATTTCTGAGGCCTCTGTTCTGTTCCATTGGTCTATATATCTGTTTTGGTACCAGTACCATGTTGTTTTGGTTACTGTAGCCTTGTAGTATAGTTTGAAGTCAGGTAGCGTGATGCCTCCAGCTTTGTTCTTTTTGATTAGGATTGTCATGTCTATACGGTCTCTTTTTTGTTCCATATGAAATTTAAAGTAGTTTTTTCTAATTCTGTGAAGAAAATCCATGGTAGCTTGATGGGGATAGCATTGAATCTATAAATTACTTTGGGCAGTATGGCCGTTTTCACGATATTGATTCTTCCTATCCATAAGCATGGAATGTTTCTGCATTTGTTTGTGTCCTCTCTTATTTCCTTGAGCAGTGGTTTGTAGTTCTCCTTGATGAAGTCCTTCACATCCTTTGTAAGTTATATT
Organism: Homo sapiens; assembly: GCF_000001405.40. NCBI lineage: Eukaryota > Metazoa > Chordata > Mammalia > Primates > Hominidae > Homo > Homo sapiens. The sequence goes on from NC_000023.11 coordinate 79,692,744, forward strand.
CCTAGGTATTTTTTTCTCTTTGTAGCAATTGTGAATGGGAGTTCAATCATGATTTGGCGTTCTTTCTATTATTGGTGTATAGGGATGTTTGTGATTTCTGCACACTGATTTTGTATCCTGAGACTGCTGAATATGCTTATCAGCTCAAGGAGATTTTGGGCTGAGACAATGGGGTTTTCTAAATATAAAATTTTGTCATCTGCACACAGAGATAATTTAACTTTCTGTCTTCCTATTTGAGTATCTTTTATTTCCTTCTCTTGCCTGATTGCCCTGGCCAGAACTTCCAACACTATGTTGAATAGGAGTGGTGTGAGAGGGCATCCTTGTCTTGTGCCACTTTTCAAAGGGAATTCTTCCAGCTTTTTCCCATTCAATATGATATTGGCTATATATTTGTCATAAATAGCTCTTAATATTTTGAGATATGTTCCACCAATACCTAGTTTATTGAGAGTGTTTAGCATGAAGGGGTATTGAATTTTATCAAAGGCCTATGTGGTTCTTGTCGCTGGTTCTGTTTACATAATGGATTACATTTATTGATTTGCATATGTTGAACCAGCCTTGCATCCCAGGGATGAAGCCAACTTGACTGTGGTGGATAAGCTTTTTGATGTGCTGCTGGATTTGGTTTGCCAGCATTTTATTGAGTATTTTCACATCAATGTTAATCAGGGATATTGTCCTGGAAATTTTCTTTTTTCATTGTGTCTCTGCCAGGTTTTGGTATCAGGATGATGCTGGCCTCATATAATGAGTTAGGGAAGAGTTCGTCTTTTTCTATTGTTTGGAATAGTTTCAGAAAGAATGGTACCAGCTGCTCTTTCTACCTCTGGTATAATTTGGCTGTGAATCCGTCTGGTCCTGGGCTTTTTTTGGGCTATTAATTACTGCCACAATTTCAGAACTTGTTATTGGTCTATTCAGAGATTCAACTTCTTCCTGGTTTAATCTTGGGAGGGTGTATGTATCCAGGAATTTATCAATTTCTTCTATATTTTCTAGTTTATTTGCATAGATGTGTTTATAGCATTCCGTGATGTCAGTTTGTATTTTTGTGCGATCAGTGGTGATATCATTTCTTATTGTGTCTATTTGATTCTCCTCTCTTTTTTTCTTTATTAGTCTTGCTAGCGGTCTATTTTGTTGATCTTTTCTTTTCTTTTTTTTTTTTTTTTGAAATGGAGTATTGCTCTGTCGCCCAGGCTGGAGTGCAGTGGCGCAATCTCGGCTCACTGCAAGCTCTGTCTCCTGGGTTCATGCCATTCTCCTGCCTCAGTCTCCTGAGTAGCTGGGACTACAGGCGCCCGCTACCACACCTGGCTAATTTTTTTGTATTTTTAGTAGAGATGGGGTTTCACCGTGTTAGCCAGGATGGTCTCGATCTCCTGACCTCGTGATCCGCCCGCCTCGGCCTCCCAAAGTGCTGGGATTACAGGCTTGAGCCACTGCACCAGGCCTGATCTTTTCAAAAAAGCAGCTACTGGATTCATTGCTTTGTTTAAGAGTTTTTTTGTGTGTGTCTCTATCTCCTTCAGTTCTGCTCTGATCTTAGTTATTTCTTGCCTTCTGCTAGCTTTTGAATGTGTTTGCTCTTTCTTCTGTAGTTCTTTTAATTGTGATGTTAGGGTGTCGATTTAAGATCTTTCCTGCTTTCTCCTGTGGGCATTTGGTGCTATAAATTTCCCTCTATACACTGCTTTAGTTGTGTCCCATAGATTCTGGTACATTGTGTCTTTGTTCTCACTGGTTTCAAATAACTTGTTTATTTTAGCCTTTTTTTCGTTATTTACCCAGTAGTCATTCAGGAACAGGTCGTTCAGTTTCCATGTAGTTGTGTGGTTTTGAGTGAGTTTCTTAATCCGGAGTTCTAATTTGATTGCACTGTGGTCTCTAAGAATGTTTTTTATGATTTCTGTTCTTTTGCATTTGCTGAGCAGTGTTTTACTTCCAATTATGTGGTTGATTTTAGAATAAGTGTGATGTGGTGCTGAGAAGAATGTATATTCTGTTCATGTGGGGTGGAGACTTCTGTAGATGTTTATTAGGTCTGCCTGGTCCAGAGCTGAGTTCATGTCCTGAACATCCTTGTTAATTTTATGTCTCATTGATCTGTCTAATATTGACAGTAGGGTGTTAAAGTCTTCCACTATTATTGTGTGGGAGTCTAAGTTTCATTGTAGGTCTCTAGGAACTTGCTTTATGAACCTGGGTGCTCCTGTATGGGTGCACATGTATTTAGGATAGTTAGTTCTTCTTGTTGCACTGATCCCTTTACCATTATGTAATGCCCTTCTTCATCTTTTTTATCTTTTTTGGTTTAAAGTCTGTTTTATCTGAGACTAGGATTGCAACCCCTGCTTTTTTTTTGCTTTCCATTTGCTTGGTAAATCTTCCTCCATCCCTTTATTTTGAGCCTATGTGTGTCTTTGCATGTGAGATAGGTCTCCTGAATACAGCACACTGATGGGTCTTGAGTCTTTATTCAGTTGGCTAGTCTGTGTCTTTTAATTGGGGCATTTAGCCCATTACATTTAAGGTTAATATTGTTATGTGTCAATTTGATTCTGTCATTATGATGCCAGCTGATTATTTTTGCCATTAATTCCTGCAGTTTCTTCATAGTTTCAGTGGTCTTTACCATTTGACATGTTTTTTCAGTGGCTGGTACTGGTTTTTCCTTTCCATATTTAGTGCTTCCTTCAGGAGCTCTTGTAATGTAGGACTGGTGGTGAGTAAATCTCTCAGCATTTGCTTGTCTGTGAAGGATTTTATTTCTCCTTCACTTATGAAGCTTAGTTTAGCTGTATATGAAATTCTGGGTTGAAAATTATTTTCTTTAAGAATGTTGAATACTGGCCCCCACTATCTTCTGGCTTGTGTGGTTTCTGCTGAGAGATCTGCTGTTAGTCTGATGGGCTTCCCTTTGTGGGTAACCTGATCTTTCTCTCTGGCTGCCCTTAACATTTTTTTCCTTCATTTCAACCTTGGTGAATCTGAAGATTATGTGTCCTGGGGTTGCTCTTTTCGAGGAGTATCTTTGTGGTGTTCTTGTATTTCCTGAGTTTGAATGTTGGCATGTCTTGCTAAGTTGGACAAGTTCTCCTGGACAATATCCTGCAGTGTGTTTTCCAACTTGGTTCCATTCTCCCCATTACTTTCAGGTACACCAATCAAATGTAGGTTTTGTCTTTTCACATAGTCCCATATTTCTTGGAGCCTTTGTTTGTTCCTTTTCATTCATTTTTCTCTAATTTTGTCTTCACGCTTTATTTCATTAAGTTGATCTTCAATCTCTGATGTCCTTTGTTCTGCTTGATTGATTCGGCCGCTGATACTGGTGTATGCTTCACGAAGTTCTTGTGCTGTGTTTTTCAGCTCCATCAGGTCATTTTTGTTCTTTTCTAAACTGGTTATTCTAGTTAGCAATTTCTCTAACCTTTTTGCAAGGTTCGTTGCTTCCTTGCATTGGGTTAGAACACGCTCCTTTAGCTTGGAGGAGTTTGTTATTGTCCACCTTCTGAAGCCTACTTCTGTCAATTTGTCAAACTCATTCTCCATCCAGTTTTGTTCCCTTGCTGGTGAGGAGTTGCAATCCTTTGAAGAAAAGAGGCATTCTGGTTTTTGGAATTTTCAGCTTTTTTGTGCTGGTTTTTCCTCATCTTCGTGGATTTATCTACCTTTGGTCTTTGTTGTTGGTTACCTTTGGATGAGGTTTCCATGTGGACGTAATTTTTGTTGATGTTGGTGCTATTCCTTTCTGTTTGTTAGTTTTCCTTCTACCAGTAAAGTCCCTCTTCTGCAGGTCTGCTGGAGTTTGCTGGAGGTCCACTCCAGATCCTGTTTGCCTGGTTATCATGAGCAGAGGTTGCCTAACAGCAAAGATTGCTGCCTGCTCTTTCTTCTGGAAGCTTCGTCCCAGTGGGGCACCCCCTAGATGCCAGCCAGAGCTCTCCTGTATGAGGTGTCTGTTGACCCCTGCTGGGAGGTGTCTCCCAGTCAGGAGGCACAGGGATCAGGGACCCACTTGAGGAGGCAGTCTGCCCCTTAGCAGAGCTCAAACACTACGCTGGGAGATCTGTTGCTCTCTTCATAGCTGGCAGGCAGGAACGTTAAGTCTGCTGAAGCTGCGCTCACAGTTGCCCCTTCCCCCAGGTGCTCTGTCTCAGGGAGATGGGAGTTTTATCTATAAGCCCCTGACTGGTGCTGCTGCCTTTCTTTCAGAGATGCCCTGCCCAGAGATGAAGAATCTAGATAGGCAGTCCGGCTACAGCAGCTTTTCCCAGCTTCAGTGGGCTCCGTCCATTTCAAACTTCCCGGCATCTTTGTTTACACAGTGTGGCAAAAACTGCCTACTCAAGCCTCAGTAATGGTGGACACCTCTCCCGCCACCAAGCTCAAGCATCCCAGGTTGACTTCAGGCCACTGTGCTGGCAGTGAGAATTTCAAGCCAGTGGATCTTAGCTTGCTGGGCTCTGTGGAGGGGGGAACCACTGAACTAGACAACTTGGCTCCCTGGCTTCTGTCCCCTTTCCAGGGGAGTGAACGGTTCTGTCTCGCTGGCATTCCACGCACCACTGGGGTATGAAGAAAAAACTCCTGCAACTAGCTCAGTGTCTGCCCAAATGGCTGCCCAGATTTGTGCTTGAAACCCATGGTCCTGGTGGCGTAGGCACCAGAGGGAGTCTCCCAGTCTGCTGGTTGTGAAGACCGTGGGAAAAGCATAGTGTCTGGGCTGGAATGCACCATTCATCATGGCACAGTCCCTCATGGCTTCCCTTGGCTAGGGCAGGGAGTTCCTTGACCTCTGGCACTTCCCCAGTGAAGCAATGCCCCACCCTGCTTTAGCTTGCCCTCAGTGGGCTGTTCCCACTGTCTAACCAGTCCCAATGAAATGAGCCAGGTACCTCAGTTGGAAATGCAGAAATCACCCACCTTCTGCATTGATCTTGCTGGGAGCTGCAGAATGGAGCTGTCCTATTCAGCCATCTTGCGAGCCACCCTTCCCTTATATGATATTCTAATCCAAAAGATACTATACTGTAAGAATAAAGACAATCATCAATGGTCAGACCTGTATGAAGTCAAGTCTATAGAGATATAAAAGCATCAAACATTATAAAGTACTGCCACTCTGAATCACTATGGAGAACTGAAACAGGACTTTAGAGCCTTTGTTTCTCTGTGGATAAGGTAGTAAATAGAGTTAAGAACATAACTTCACAAATTGAAATAATTAATCATTAAATGTGTTTAATTTTAATGTAGTCTCTTGAGTCTATTTTAAAAGGTGACTCTGAATGGCTATTCTTTTAAAGTCCATGTCGACCACAATTATTTCCCAAGGCAGAGACATCCCTGGGGTTGTTTCTGCGTATTTTTTCATGGTTTAATTCATAAGCAATCTGGCATTAAAAGAAGCTGATGAAAACCAAACACTTTAAAGGACAACAGTAATTCTTTGGGAAAATGGTGATATTATGGGAAAATAAGTGTATTGTTCTTATTAATTTATTTCTGTTTCTCTACTCCTTTAATTGGATATGTGTTACCTATATAAAAGAAAATTGTCCCATTAGTTCATAAGAGATATATATTTGTAGCTTTCAATACATGATATCTGTTTAAACTCTCAATTAAACTCCACACTATGTATAATTTCTTAAAAAGTGACTACTTCTTATAAAATATTTTATTTATTTTAAGAGGATATTTTCTTATTTAATCAGCATGCTGCCAAATATGTTACATGAACTTTGAAAAAAATAAAGACATGTATTTTTGTTAGGCTTGAGGTTATTTATTAATTAGAATAAGTTAATTCATACTCATAAAGATAACTTGTCATTCAAGATTTTACATTATCTGGTTTGTCTATTTATAAAAGACCAATAATTTTATCAATAAATTAATTCCTATAGATATGGCTTATAAGTTGCAGCATCTTCAGGAGAGTAGATAAATTGTCTGTAATAAAATACAATGGACATTAAAACACATAATAAATTTTAAAAGTGATAAAATTAATTATAATAGCATTGTGACAGAAACAGTATTATCTAGTAGTTATTCAAAAACTACCATTTGTGACTTGGCTAAAATTCAGTCATATATAAAATTGAAGCTGTTGGAGTATATTAATAATATCTAAAGTAAATTATTAGTTGTAGTATTCTATAATACTAAGAGGTAGGTAAATTAAACCTTACGCAAGATTATATTTCTTGTCCTAATACCATGTAATGTCAACTTTCCTGTGATCCTTCCTTTATGGTTTAAACAATTCATTTGTATTATAAGAAAGTAAAAAAACAAACATGAACAGACACAGGAGAAGATCAAATTTAGTATACATTTTTATGTACAGCTACTCCCTTTTGGTTCCCTCTAAAGTATTTCATAAACATTTAATATCCTCAAGTCAAAGAACAAAAACAATCCTTCATATTTCCACAATGTTTGACTTTCACAGGATGTTTATCTATATTTTATCCTCACAAAAATATTGTGAGGAAGAAGTAATAATATTTTCTCCATTTGGTAGGCATATTAATCAAGGAAAAGAACAGTTTTAATGACTTGTCTCCAGTGACATAGTTAATAAGAAAAACAAATCTGGAACCCACATATGTTCATGTTCCATCACTTGTTACTTTTCACTGTATCATTACCCAGACTTGACGGTTAAAAATGTGATGATAACTACAATAACTAAATTAGGCCAGACAGAGTATACTATGCTGTCTAACAACAACCTGCAGGGACATGGATGAAATTGGAAATCATCATTCTCAGTAAACTATCGCAAGAACAAAAAACCAAACACCGCATATTCTCACTCATAGGTGGGAATTGAACAATGAGATCACATGGACACAGGAAGGGGAACATCACACTCTGGGGACTGTTGTGGGGTGGGGGGAGGGGGGAGGGATAGCACTGGGAGATATACCTAATGCTAGATGACGAGTTAGTGGGTGCAGCGCACCAGCGTGGCACATGTATACATATGTAACTAACCTGCACAATGTGCATATGTACCCTAAAACTTAAAGTATAATAATAAAAGAAAAAATAATAAAAATTAATAAATAAAAATACAAATTTATTTCTCACTCATCCTACAAATTCAATATGGATTGCCAGGGGCCTCTGCTTCTTATTCAGTTATTTACTGACCAGATTGGCAGAGGTTCTACAGTCTTATAACTGCACTGTCTGAAACACATGGACTGCATGATCAACAGGTAGAAGAGCAGATGAACATGAAGAATTCACGTGCACCATTACTAGATTTAGGTCCAGAAGTAATACACATCACTTTCACTTACAGCTGATGGGCCAGAACTTATAGTACAACATAACATTATCTAACTACAAAAAGGCTAGGAAATGTAGAGAAGCACATCAATTTTTTGGTAGGCTGTAAAATGTCTCTGCCATGATATCTAATATTTATTGAGTTCTTAACATGTGCTAGGTGCTATGTTAAGCATGTTGTGTCATTGCCTTACTTAATCCTTATCATAGTCCTGTACTATAAATATGACCATTGTACCAATGAGAGAACTGAGTTTGAGAATGATAATATGTACATGGTAACATGGAACATAAATGGCGGAGCCAGGATTCAAACTCACATTCTTACTATTTGCTTGGCCTTTTATTCTAGAGCTAAAAACATGCTAATTTGTTTAAGTCCAAATCCGTTTAATGGCTTCTCATCTTGTGATCTTTTTTAAATGTGAGCTATAGTTTTCACCTACTCTCCCCCAAACTTGACAGTTATTTTCACTTCTATTTTTATTCTATGTATTCGTAATATATTGAGTGAAAGAAGGCAGATAAATGAATGATAAAGAAACCCCTTTTGTGTTATATTATTCCCTTTCTCACAGTAGTACCCTGTCTTCTACAGTAGGCAATAGAAGCCAGTCAACAAGGGTATTTAATTGCTTGGATCTACTTCCTGTTTCTCCAGTGCATAACAGTCATCCTCCTTATTGAGCCTTCCTTAAATATAAAAAAGTCTATTATCTGCATTGCATCTTCTTTGTAAGAAGATTCCAATTATATTCTTAATTATAAGTCAGAATACATCTGTTGTATGATGTTTCCTTTTGGAACTGCTTACAATTCAGTTCACTTCTAAACTATACTTACAATTAAAGATAAGTAAACTCATATATATATATATACACACACACACACACATATATATATATATATATATATACATATATATATGGAGAGAGAGAGAGAGAATGATAATTTTCCACAAAGGAGCTAAAATGAACATTTTTAGATATTCCTGTTATCACAACACTCAATTACCAGAAATTTACACATCATTTCTAAAAATTTGAGTGTTTTTATTAATTGAGATTTAAAACTTATGAAACTCTGTCTAATGTGGAAAATATTGGCTTTATAAGTACATTTTATTAAATAGTATAAATAATATTTTACTGATGCTATAGTTGGAATGTGTCCTCTCCAAAATTCAAGTGTTGAAACTTAATGGCAAATGTGATGGTATTAAGAGGTATGGCCTTTAAGAGGTTGTTAGGTCATGAGGGACCCTCTTCTTGTTAATGAGATTAAGGCCATTATGAACGAGTCTTCCTGCAGAGTTCAGCTTTTTTCCTGTCTACCTTACACCATGTAAGGACATAGCATTCCTTCCTCTTGAGGATGGAACAACAAAATGCTACTTTAGAAGTAGACAGCAGCCTTTTTCAGATAACTGAACCTGCTAGTTCCTTGATCTTACACCTTTCAGCCTCCAGAACTGAGAAAAATAAATTTATGTTCTTTATAAATTACCCAGTCTCTAGTAATTTTTTGTAGCAGCACAGATGAACTAAGACAACTAGTGCCCCATAGGCTCATTTAATTTAGGGGTTAAAGTGAACTTCCTTATTGCACCAATGGGGAAATTGGAGCCTATGATAAGTTATTTATTTATAATCCGGTAAATAGCTAGAGGAAGCACACCTAGGTCTCCTGATTCTCTGTCTAGGCTAATTTAAAATAATATCAAAATAAAGCTTTCACACAGCAAAGCAAACAATTAACAGAGTGAAAAGACAACCTGCAGAATGAGAAAAATATGTGCAAACTGTGCATTCAACAAGGAACCAATAGCCAGAATATGCAAGGAACTTGAACAACCCAACACCAAAAAAAAAAAAAAAGTCCCATTAAAAACTGGGCAAAGATCTGAGTAGACATTTCTAAAACGAAGACATGCAAATAGTCGACAAGTACATGAACAAAAACCTTAACATTACAAATCATCAACAAAATGCAAATATTATCCTATCCTGGTTAGAATTGCTATTAATAAAAAGACAAAATATGACAGATTCTGTCCAGGATGTGAGGAAAAGTAAACTCATGCACTGTTGGTGGGAAAGTAAATTAGTACAGTCATTGTGGAAAACAGTATAAGGATTTCTCAATAAATAAATAAACAGTGATACCATATGATCCAACAATTTCACTACTATGTATTTATCAAAAAAATGAAATCAGCATATCAAAGAGATATCTACACTCCCATGTTTATTGCAGCAGAATTGCCAATAGCCAAGATATGGAATCAAATAAGTTCCCACCAACAGAATAATGGGTAAAGAAAATGTGGTACGTATGTATACAATGGAATACTATTTGGCAATAAAAACAAATGCGATCATGTCATTTTCAGCAACATAAATGAAGCTAGAGGTCATTATGTTAAGTGAAATAAACCAGACATAGAAAGACAATATCTCATATTGTCACTCATATGTGGGAGCTAAAAAAGTTGATAGCATAAAGAGTAGACTGATAGTTACCAGAGGCTGAGAAGCTGAACGAAGGTTAGAAGGGGGATGAAGAAGAATTGAGTAAGGGGTAGAAATATACAGTTAGCTTTGAGTAATGGGTAGAAATATACAGTTAGTTAGAAGAAATAACTTCTAGTGTTCAATAGCACAGTAGGGTGACTGTAGTTAACACTATATTGTATATTTTTAAATAGCTAGAAAAGAAGACCTGAAATGTTTCCATTGCAAAGAAATAATAAATGTTCTAGGTGATGAATATCCTGAATAGCCTGATTTGATCCTTACACATTGTATGCATATATCAAAATATCGTATGTGCCCCATAAATATGTACAATTATTATGTATCAATAAAAAATAATAGTAATGTTTATAAAATTTTACTTCTAGAAAGTTAAAATCAAACCTCTTAAAATACTATAAATGCTTTTATTAGGTAAGCTAACACTTCTCCATTATGTATTTGTAACTCTTATCCTAGGATAATTACATTGGAATTTTGTCATTGAGCACCAGAAAATAGCTAAGGATATGCTCAAAACAGGTATAGAAAGAAAACAGATATAGAAATATGGCTAGACTCTCAGCATTAATTACTAACATGTTAACCGAGATGCTATAGCAATTTTTAGGTATCTTTGTGCCATTTGACTTATACAATGAGCATGGGATACTCTTTTTTAAAAAAAAAAAACAGTTTTATAATTTTTTTCAATGCAATAGTAGCTTACATTTGTTTAAAATCTTTTAACAGCTGATCTCAATGTACTTTTCTGATTTTAAAGGATAAAAAATGAGGAATTTCATGCAAAGCCAAAACAGAAGATTTGTTGCATTAAAATAGCAATCAGGGCATTTAAGATGTGTCACTCTGTTATAAGAGAGCACTAAATTCTTGTCTCAGTTGTGCGTATTTGGACAAACAGGAAGTAATCTATCCAAGATTTATTTATTTATTGATATGTTAAATGGGGATAGAAATACCTGCCCTGTCAAACTCACAAGTTTGTTGTATGAATAACATAATTAAATGTACAGGAAAGCTCCAGAGAAAATGAAAATCGCTCCACTAACTTAAGGTATGACTGTGTATGTTAACATACATAAACTAACATTCCCTGCATATGCATCATTATATGTGTATCAACAAATGTCCTACTTAAATAACTCATCGTTTTGTTCACTTCACAGAAGGCAGAAAAAGGCCAAGAAGTTAGGTTACTTGTGTTAAATTCTATAGCAAACAAAGAACTCATTTGATAAGTTACTATTTTTCTAGGTACCTTCTATGTACCAGGCACTACACTAGGTAATTTACAGATATGTTACTTCTTGGTCGTTGGTCTAACCTTGAAAAGTAGGTGTTATTTCCTCCATTATACAAGTGAAGAGAGTGAAGACCAAGGAAGTTAAGTAAATTGCTCAAAGTCACACAGTTGGTAAGCAAGCAGCAGAGCCAGGATTCATGTCCAAGTTTGTCAGACTCCAAAGCTCTTTTCTCTATTTTGTGCTGTCTTTTAGAGATTATATTCACCTGCCTGGGTAACGTTTAATTTCTTTTGGCATGAGTACATGTTTTCCAGACGTATAAGTTGTGTAGAATAGCAAGGTTTTTTTTTTCTTTCTTTTTGCTCACTTGATTTCTCTAACAAAACAAATGGCTCTCTTCTGATGTCTGTTCTGTTGACCTTGTGTCTCTGTGCTAAAAATCTTTTTTCCAACTTGCTCTTTCTGTAAGAATGAAATGTTTCTGATTGAATATATCATACCCCAGAAATTTGGGGCCTTTTTGAGTTTAAAGTGTTTACAAAAATAGCCTTTTCCCCTGGATTTGATTATCTCATTGACAGCAGCCAATATCCTCATGCATAGAAATGTATTTACTTATAGGAACATAAGTAATTCATTTATAAAATTGAATTATCTCACTAGGAAGATTGCTTGCTTTGATTGTGTAGCTGTCCTTATGAAACTGACTTACAATTGATAAAAGCCAGATGGAAAGGGAAAACAGTCCATTTCATTACTCTTTAAATGTTTAAGTTTATTAACCCTTGCACTTCAAATTTTTTAAAGTTAGTGGTAGTGGGGAAGCAATTTGTCGTTGAGTTTTAATATGCAAAATAGACAGTAAGTGCTTGTGACATTCTATACCAGGGAAAAGAGTTTGGGCTTTAAAGGAGCTTCATGGAAAATATTTACAGCTCATCTTTAACTCCTGCGTATTGTTACTTTTTTTCTCATTCATATTTTTTCATCAAAATGGTTTTTAACGTGTATAATGTATGTGATAGTGTCTCTCATATGAGCAAGTGCTGATTCTTAGTATCTCCAAAGTAACTTCCTATATTAACACATATTCTGTGTGTTATTGGTTTGAGTGCAACACATAAACATACTTCTTAATAAGACATTTGCCATGTTCTTAAATAATAATTTAAATGCCAGGTAATATCCTAAACACTTTTATTAATTATAACTTAATCTTCACAGCAACATTCTGATGTACGTACTGTTTATTTTCAATACTCTCATTCTTCAGCTGAAGGAAGCTGAAGACTGGAGAGTTTACACAACTTTTTCATGGTCACAAAACTGGGAAGCAGTGGAACCAGGATTTGAATCCAGAAAAATTATGCTTCAGAGTCTTTACTCTGAACAATTACCATATATTGGCTCTTTGTTTCTTAAGAAACTAGTCAAGTGTGATGTTATGGTAAGCACCATACAAAAAGCAAGAAATTCCTTTTTATTTATTTATTTTTTTTTCTTTTTTTTTTATTATACTGTAAGTTTTAGGGTACATGTGCACATTGTGCAGGTTAGTTACATATGTATACATGTGCCATGCTGGTGCGCTGCACCCACTAACTCGTCATCTAGCATTAGGTAATAATGGTACCACAATTCCCACACTATTGCTAGAACAAAACAATAGTCACCTTATACATCCTTTTCCCTAACTTCCTACATAAAATCACTCATGAATATCCACAAATTCTACCTCTGCAAAGGCTGATTCCATGATCTCCGCTACCATACCAGTCCAACCCTAATGTCTTATCACCCCTAGACTATTACTGCTTCTCTCTGTCCAGTTATCCCCTGGTCCAAACTATGCTACATATCACTGCTTGAGATATCTTAAGGTACACTTATAACTATGTCACTGCTTATAAACTTTCTGAAATCTTTAGTAATTAACTTCAAACTACTCAATGTGAAATTCAAGGTGCTCAATAATCTGGACACAGTGAGCCTTTCTATGCTTATTTCTTAGCTTGTATTCACATATTCTATGTTCCAACCTAAAATAACTATTCCAAATTCTCTAAGCACACCTTTTGATTTCATTTCTGTCTTTATTCCTTTATTCAATAGTGTTTACCTATAATTACCTTCCTTGTCACTTCTGCCTATTGATTTTTTACTCAGTCTTTAAAAGCATATTGCAAATTTTACTTCATCTGTGGTTTGGTTTATACTTCCTACATTCAAAATTTTTTATTTATTTATTCAGTTGAATACTCATCAGAACCTTCCTTTCACTCTCTTCATATTATGCCTACTGGTATAGTTATTTGTGCTCTGCCTTACACTTCCTTTCTAGAAGGTAGTCTTCTTAAGGTCAAGAGATATGCTTTTTTAATCTTTGTATTATACAGAGAGTTAGACAAATTCCTTAGACTTTGTAAATACTTAATATTTATTGAAAATGGCCTTTAACATCTCCTAGGTGTTTAAAGTCTCTACATCAATTGAATTATGATTTTATATTCTAAATCAGTAAAAAATAGAGTAATCTAAGCTTGAAATATAAGTATTTCTGAGAACAAATCATTAAGGTTTAAAGGAGCAAATGATACCCCAGCATAATGTAAGTCAAATAAAAAATAATCTTTTTGTTATTACAGGACTTCTGGGAAATACTGCCTATCTTCCTGCCTGCCGAAATGGTATGAGTTCAAGTTTAAATCCCAGAGTAATTATATTGCTCCACGAACAAAGAATTGGCCCTGTCTTTCATCAAAAATGTAAAAGTATAGCTTAAGTATACTTGAGTTCACCAAAGCTTATGCCTGATGTGAGATAGGAAGGTAAATTTTCTCCACATCCAAGAAAGCATATACCCTCCAAGTCCAAAGGGCAATAGAAACTGATACAAACTTGAATACTAGCTGAAGAGTTGAGGAAATTAGCTGGAAAGGCAGTGATATTATAATCTATAGACCTATGATATAGACTTAGATTATTACAAACAGGTTGTTTGAGCCTGAGTCTCCTTTGTTTCCATAGGGTGACAGGGACTTGATTAAAAAGAGCTTTTTTTTTTTTCCTATGAGTCAAATTGTATATATTGTGTACATGAGTCAAATTTCCATGTATTGATGCCCAGAAAAGAGGGGACACATAGATGCAAATTGTTTCTGGGAGGGGTTTCCAAAACATTTATAGTACAAGTAGCTAATGCTTATTATATGACAGGCATTTTTGTAACTGCTTTACATATCTCATTTAGTAGTCACTAAAACCCTATGAGGTCATTACCATTAAAATCATCCCCATTTACAGATGAGAAAACTAAAGTAGAGATGTATATAACTTGTCAAGGTACCGTAAATACCAACATACCTCAGAGATATTGTGGGTTCCCCAGTTCTAGACCACCTAGCAATAAAGTGGATATTGCAATAAAGTGAGTCACATAATTTTTTTGATTTCCCAATGCATGTAAAAGTTAAGCTTGGCCAACATAGTGAAACCCCATCTCTACTAAAAATACAAAAAAATAGATGGGCGTAATGGCGGGCACCTGTAGTCCCAGCTACTTGGGAGGCTGAGGCAGGAGAATCCCTTGAAGCTGGGAGGTGGAGGTTGCAGTGAGCCGAGATTGCGCCACTGCACTCCAGCCTGGGCAAGAGTGCGAGGCTCTGCCTCAAAAAAAAAAAAAAAAAAAAAAAAAAAAAAAACCATTAAGCTTACACGATACTATAGCCTATTGTGTGCAAGAACATTATGTCTAAAAAAAGTACATATTTTAATTTTAAAATGCTTTATTTCTAAAAAATACCAACGATCATCAGATCCTTCAGCAAATCATAATCTATTTGCTGGTAGAAGTTCTTGCCTAAATGTTGATTGCTGCTGATCAGGGTGGTGTGCCTGTGGCAACTTTATAAAATAAGATAACAATTGCCACAAAAAAGAATAGAATACCTAGGAATACAGCTGACTAGACAGGTGAAAGGTCTCTACAAAGAGAACTACAAAACACTGCTCAAAGAAATCAGAGATGAGACCAAAAAAAAATGGAAAAACATTCCATGCTCATAGATCAGAAAAAACAATATCGATAAAATGTCCATACTACCTAAATTCAATGCTATTCTTATTAAGCAATCATTGAGATTCTTCACAAAACTAGAAGAAACAATGTTAAAATTCATATGGAACCAAAAAGAGCTTGAATAGTTAATGCAATTCTAAGCAAAAAGAACAAAGCTGGAGACATTACACTACCAGACTTCAAACTATACTGCAGGTCTGCACTAACCAAAACAGCATATTACTGGTACAAAAACAGACAAATAGACTAATGGGAAAAAAATTGAGAACCCAGAAATCAGACTGCACACATACAACCATCTGACCATTGACAAGCTTGACAAAAACAAGCAATGGGGAAAAGATTCTCTATTCAATGAATGGTGTTGGGATAACTGGCTACCCTTATGCAGAAGATTGAAACTGGACTCCTTCCTTAAACCATATACAAAACAACCCTCAAGATTAATTAAAGACTTAAATGTAAAACCTAAAACTATAAAAACCCTGTAAGACAATTTAGGCAATACCATCCTGGACATAGAACTGGGCAAAGATTTCATGACCAAGATGCCAAAAGCAATAGCAACAACAGCAAAAATTGACAAATGGGATCTAATTAAACTAAAGAGTTTCTGCACAGCAAAAGAAACTATCAACAGAGTAAACAACCTACAGAATGGGAGAAAAAATCACAATCTATGCATCTGACAAAGGTTTAATATCCAGCATCTACAAGGAACTTAAACAAATTTACAAGAAAAAAAAACTCCATTAGAAAGTGGGCAAAAGACATGAACAGAAACACTTCAAAATAAGACATACATGCATCCAACAATCATATGAAAAGAAGCTCTTCATTAGAGAAATGCAAATCCAAACCACAATGAGATACCATCTCACACCAGTCAGAATGGCTATTATTAAAAACTGAGAAAACAACAGATGCTGGTGAAGTTGTAGAGAAAAAGGAATGCTTACACACTGCTGGTCAGAGTGTAAATTAGTTCAATCATTGTAGATGACAGTGTGGTAATTCTTCAAAGACTTAAAAAAATACCATTTGACCCAGCAATCCCATTACTGAGTATATACTCAAAAAATATAAATCATTCTACTATAAAGACACATGCATGCTTATTCTCATTGCAGTACTATCCACAATAGCAAAGACACAGAATCAACCTAAATGTCCATCAATGATATATGGATACAGAAAACGTAGTACATATACACCATGGAATAATATGCTGCTAAAAAGACAATGAGATCATGTCCTTTGCAGAGACATGGATGGAGCTGGAGGCCATTATCCTTAGCAAACTAAGGCATAAACAGAAAGCCAAATACCACATGCTCTCACTTATAAGTGGGAGCTAAATAATGAGAAAACATGGACACATAGAGGGAAACACACACTGGGGCCTATTGAAGGGTAGGAGGAGGGAGAGGATCAGGAAAAATAACTAATGGGTACTAGACTTAATACCTGGGTAATGAAATAATTTGCACAACAAATCCCCATGACACATTTATCTAAGTAACAAAACTGCTCATATACCTCTGAACCTAAAAGTGAAAAATAAAATAAAATAAAGTTTTCTGCATCTATTGATTTCTTTCCATGAATTTTTTTGTAGCAAGTGATGCTGCTTGATAGCACTTTACATACAGTAGAATTTCTTTCATGGTTGGAGCCAATCCTCTCAAATCCTACTACTGCTTTATTAACTAAGGTTATGTAATATTC
This sequence comes from Homo sapiens, assembly GCF_000001405.40. Lineage (NCBI taxonomy): Eukaryota > Metazoa > Chordata > Mammalia > Primates > Hominidae > Homo > Homo sapiens. Next base: position 79,709,654 of record NC_000023.11, read on the forward strand.
TAAACCCTTTGTTGCCATTTCAGCAATGTTCACAGCATCTTCACCAGGAGTAGATTCCATCCTAAGAAACCACTTTATTTGCTCATCCATAAGAAGCAACTTCTCATCCACTCAGTTTTCTCATGAGATGGCAGTAATTCAGGCACATCTTTGGGTTCCACTTCTAATTTTAGTTCTCTTGTTATTTCCACTACATCTGCCAGTACTTCCTTCACTGACATGTTGAAACCCACAAAGTCATCAACGTGGGTTGAAATAAACTTCTTCCAAACTCCCGTTAACATTGACATTTTGACCTCCTCTCATGAATGATAAATCATCTTCATTGCATTTAAAATGGTGAATCCTTTCCAGGAGGTTTTCCATTTATTTGCTCAGGTACATCAGAAGAAGGACTATGTATGGTAGTTAAATGTATTTCTCAAATAATGAGTCTTGAAAGTCAAAACTGATCCATGTTACGGGCTTCAGATTGGATGTTGTATTAGTAGACATATAAACAATATTAATTTCCTTTCATATATCCATCAGAGCTCTTTGGTGACCAGGTGCATTCTCAATGAGCAGTAGTATTTTGAAGAAATTTTTTTTTGAGAATCAAGTCTCAACAGTAGGCTTTAAAAATGTAGTAAAACATGCTACAAATGGATGTGTTGTCATCCAGGATTTGTTATTCCAATTATAGAGTACAGATAGAATACAGGCTCTAGGATTTTCAGAATGGTGACTGGGCATTGGCTTCTGTATAAAGTAATCAGCTGCATTTATTTTTAACAATAGAGTCAACCTGTCCTTTGAAGCTTTGAAGTCAGGCATTGATTTACCCTCTTTAGCTATGAAAATTTTACATGGCATCTTTCTCCAGTATAAGGTTGTTTTATCTACATTGAAAATCTGTTCCTTAGTATAACCATTTTTGTCAATTATTTTAGCTAGAACTTAGGAATAACTTCCTGTAGCTTGTATATAAGTGCTTGCTGATTTACTTTGCACTTTTAGGTTATGGAGATGGTTTCTTTCCTTAAACCTCACGAACCAACCTCTGCTAACTTCAAGGTTTTCTTCTGTAGCTTCCTCACCTCTCTCAGCTTTCGTAAATGGGCAAAGATAAAGGCATAAAGGCAGAGCCTTGCCCTGGATTTGACTTTGGCTTAAAGGAATGTTGTTTCTGGTTTGATCTTCTATGTAGACCACTAAAACTTCTTACATATCAAGAATAAGTCTGTTTCACTGTGCTATCATTGGTGTGCTCACTGGAGTAACACTTTTAATTTTCTTCAAGAACATTTTCTTTCCATTTATAACTCGGCTTTTTGGTGCAAGAGGCCTAGCTTCTAGCCTGTCTTGTCTTTTGACATGCTCTCCTCATTTAGCTTAATTATTTCTAGCTTTTGATTTAAAGTGAGAGACATGCAAGTCTTTCTTCACTTGAGCACTTAGAGGCCATTGTGCAGATATTAAATGGCACAATTTTAATATTGCCGTGTCTCAGAGAATAGAGAGGTCTGAGGAGAGGGAGAGAACGAAAGAAACAGCTGGTTGCTGAAGCAGTTAAAAATACATAAAATACATAACATTAACTTATTAAGTTTGCCACCTTATATAGGTGTGTTTTTTGGTGCCTCAAAACAATTACAATAGTAACATCAGAGATCACTGATCACAGATCACCATAACAGATATAATAATAATGAAAAATTTGAAATATTGTGAGAATTACCAAAATGTGACACAGGTATAGGAAGTGAGCATATGCTCCTGGAAAAATGGTACTGATATGCTTGATTGAGACAGAGTCATCACACACCTTCAATTTGTTAAAAAAAATGCAACATCTGTGAACTGCAGTAAAGCAAAGCATAATGAAACAAGGTGTGCTTATATTAAGTTTGGTAAAACTAAAAGTTAAACCCATGGAGTTTGACTCCCGTCTGTAATGGTAACAACCACCTTATATTGTTCCTCCTGCTATGCTTCAACTTTTTATGTACAGTCTACACACTCAGACTTTCTCAGTTGCTAAATAAAGTACCTTCTCAACTCAGGGACTTTAGACATGCTGTTTGCTCTTTCTGAAATGTTTTCTCCTGTCATTCTGACCATCTACTTACTAGCTGTACTTACTATTCTTGCCTCACCGTAAATGTCACTTTTATGAAAAGGCTTTTTTTTAACCTCTCAATCTTAATTACGTGTCCTTTATATCGTCAAAGAACCCTGTACTTGATTCCTTACAAGTATTTCTCACAATTATCATATAAAGTACTATATGATTCCTTGGAAGAAGTCAAATACAGAGTTCTTTGACTCTCTCTCTCTCTCTCTCTCTCCCTGGAGATATATATTATATAGATAGATACATAGATATTGTTTTTTCTAGAATGTAAGCTCCACAAGCGCAGAAACTTTGACTTCTTCACCGCTGCATCCACAGTGCATAAAATGTTACCAGGCACATCATAGGTAGTAACAATATTTGTTGAATAAATTAATCAACCCATAAACGCATGCTTGTAGACACTACATGTGTGTTTAGAGAAAATAATTGATATTTTTCTGTTGAGAAAAATATTCTTTGTGATAACAATTATTTGGCTACACAGGCAGACCTGACATATGTAGAGAGAAATAATGTAAAGGATAAGGGGGATTGGCTAAACATCATTACTAAAATTATCTTTCACATCTTCTGAAATGGGGCCAGGAATTTTTCCAGGGAAAATTTATTTCATTTTTGTCTTGAAGGCTTTACACCCTCCATAGACTCAGTGCCTACTATTGAAAACAAGATCTTTTGAGGAATAGGGTACAAGAATAGTACAGAATAGGAGGCTAAGGAAGGAGATTAGAAGAAACTAAATATAAAAATTGCCATCCCCCAAATAAAAAGCCATCCATGAAAAGCCACTATCTTTTTCTGCCCTTGTTAGAGTAGCCTATACTTATCACCACAGAACAATCACTGAAGAAGTAACTATTAGTCAGTGATATGGTTTGGCTTTGTGTCCCCATCAAAATCCCATCTCAAATTGTAATCCCTAGGTATTGAGAGAGGGATCTGGTAGGAAGCAATTGGATCATGGGAGCACTTTCCCCCATGTCGTTCTCGTGATAGTGAGTGAGATCTCAAGAAATCTAATAATTTTGGCCGAGCGCGGCAGCTCACACCTGTAATCCCAGCACTTTGGGAGGCTGAAACAGGCGGATCACAAGGTCAGGAGATCGAGACCATCCTGGCTAACACAGTGAAACCCCGTCTCTACTAAAAATAGAAAAATTAGCCGGGTGTGATGGCAGGCACCTGTGGTCCCAGCTACTCGGGAGGCTGAGGCAGGAGAAGGGCGTGAACCCGGAAGGCGGAGCTTGCAGTGAGCCGAGATCGTGCCACTGCACTCCAGCCTGGGCAACAGAGCTGGACTCTGTCTCAAAAGAAAAAAAAAAGAAAGAAATCTAATACTTTTATAAAAGACTCTTTTCCCTTCACTTTCTCTCCTGCCACCATGTAAGATGTGATTGGAAGTTTCCTGACGCCTCCCCAGTCATGCAGAACTTCAAAGAAATTAAACCTCTTCCCTTTATAAATTACTCAGTCTTAGGTGTTTTTAATAGCATGTGAAAATTGACTAATACAGTAAATTGGTACCAGGAGTGGGACACTGCTATAAAGATAACCTGAAAATGTGGAAGTGACTTTGGAACTGGGTAACAGGCAGAGGTTAGAACACTTTGGATGGCTCAGAAGAAGAAAGAAATGTGTGGGAAAGTTTGTGACTTCCTAGAGACTTCTTTAATGGTTTGGACCAAAATGCTGATAAGGATGTGGACAATGATGTCCAAGCTGAGGCAGTCTCAGATAAAGATGAGGAACTTATTGGCAATTGGAGCAAAGGTCACTCTTGCTATGATTTAACACAGACTGGCAGCATTTTGCCTTTGCTCTAGAAAGTTTAAAGTTCTGTGAAACTATGAACTTGAGAGAGATGATCTGAAATTGGAACTTATGTTCAAAAGGGAAGCAGAGCATAAAAGTTTGAAAAATTTGCACCCCGATGATGTGGTAGAAAAAAAATAAAGCATTTTCTGGAGAGGAATTCAAGTCTGCTGCAGGAATTTGAATAAGTAATGAGAAGCCAAATGTTAATAGCCAGGACAATGGGGAAAATGTATGCAAGGCATGCCAGCGATCTTCCAGGCAACCCCTCCCATCACAGGCCCAGAGACCTAAGAGTTAAAAATGGTTCTGAGGGCTGGGCCCAGGGCCCTGCTTCTGATCTGTGCAGCCTCAGGACTTGGTCCCCTGTGACCTAGCTGCTCCAGCTCCAGTCATGGCTAATAGGGGCAAAGGTATAGCTCAGGCCACTGCTTTAGAGGGTGCAAGCCCCAAGCCTTGGCAGCTTCCATATGGTGCTGGGCCTGCAAGTTTTCAGAAGACAATAATTAAGGTTTGAGAACTTCTTCCTAGATTTCAGAGGATGTATGGAAACACCTGGATGTCCAAACGGAAGACTGCTTCAAGGGTGGAGCTAATGGAGAACCTCTGCTAGGGAAATAAGGAAGGAAAATGTGGGGTTGCCTAGCGGAGCTGTGAGAAGAGGGCCATCATCCTCCAGACCGCAGAATAATACATCCACCAACAGCTTCCATAAAGAGTCTAGAAAAGCCATAGACACTTAATGCCAGCCATGAAAGTAGCTGGAGGTGGCTGCAGGGAGATGGACTATACCCTGCAAAGCCACAGGAGTGGAGCTGCCAAAGGTTATGGGAGCACACCCCTTGCATCTGCGTGCCCTGGATGTGAGACATGGTCAAAGGAAATCATTTTGGAGCTTTAACATTTACTGACTGCTCTGCAGGATTCTGGACTTGCATGGAGCCTGTAGCCACTTTGTTTCAGCCAACCCATTTGGAAGTGTAGCATTCATCCAATGCCTGTACTCCAACTGTATCTTGGAAATAACCAACTTGTTTTTGATTTTACAGGCTCAAAGGCAGAAGGGACTTGCCTTATCTAAGATGAGATTTTGGACTTGGATTTTTGAGATAATGCTGAAAAGAGTTAAGATTTTGGGGGACTGTTGGAAATGCATGATTGGTTTTGAAATACGAAAGAGACATGAGTTTTGGGAGGGGCCAGGGGCAGAATGGCATGGTTAGGCTTTGTGTCCCCACCCAAATCTCATCTCGAATTTTAATCCCCAGGTCTTGAGGAAAGGACCTTGTAGGAGTTGATTGTATCATGGGGGAAGTTTCCCCCATGCTGTTCTCATGATAATGAGTGAGTTATTATGAGATCTGATAGTTTTATAAAGGGCTCTTCCCGCTTCACTTCTTCTCTCTCCTGCTACCATGTAAGATGTGCCTACTTCCCCTTCTGCCATGACTGTAAGTTTCCTGAGGCCTCCCCAGTCATGCAGAACTGTGAGTAAATAAAACCTCCTTCCTATATAAATTACCCAATCTTGGGTGTTTCTTTATAGCAGTGTAAAAATGGACTAATATAGTCAGTGTGATTGTCTCCACAAAGATTTTGTAACTGAAGAAGTAGTTTCAAATAGTACTATTAGCTTAAATTTCATTGTAAACTTGATCTAGAGTGAATTTTTATAATAACTTAGAATAAATTTAAGGTATAAATGCTATCATTTATTTTAATATAAATAGTTATTTATAAATGTAATTAACTTGTTATATTTTCAGCAAGATTAAATTTTTAGATGCCAGTATATACTTACAAGTGGAAGAGTACAAGAGCTATTCTCTAAATAAATTCTTATAAGCATAAGTTACTAAAAACTATGACTAAAATAGATAATTAAATTTCTGAAAGTAGTCAGATATTTAATAACATTTGAGACTACAGATGCTGAATCCTGGCACATTTTTACAAATGACCTAAGACAGAGCTTCCTAAAGTAATCTTTTGTTTCATTTCCACATGGAACCTGATACCAGATGTCAAAAAACTTAATTAAATAGCTAGATTATGTTTATAGACTGCTTTACAAGTCACAAAGTGCTTTCATGTATGTTGACTAATTTAATTTAAAATGCCATAAATTGCTGAAACAGCAAAATGCACAGTCTAAATTTTCACTCACTGATCTCCTTTATGCCCAACATTTAAAGAATGGTTTCCAACTCCAGTGTTCTAAAAAAAGTTTGGATATGATATTTCTATAATTATACACATATTATATTAATATCACTAAAGAAATTTAGCAGTATAACACAGATATACAGAGAATAGATACTTTTTTTAACTCTGATTGTTGAGGTAAGTGTAAATTCCAATAAAATGAGCCAAGTTAAAGGAGAAAATGAAACACAAATCAAATCATGTGGCCTTACTGAAGCTTGTAGGAAAAGAGAGCAGACTCTACAAGCAACAAACATAGTCAGGAAATTAAAAATTATTTTGTATGCAGGATTCCAACAATTACTAGATATATGCTAAGATTTTCAGTTATATTTGTAAAATGGATCATGATGATTTTTTAAATTCAGGAATATAAATGTAATATAAAATATTTTAACATGCATTTATGTATTCCACTTTCTTATCAGACTGCCTAAACTATCATAGCATAGTGGCAAAACCTGAAAATATACTAAGATGATCTCTAAGAGGTTAAACACAGTGGGGGCACAATGATCTCTAAGGGTATAAATAAAGAATGGACACAAAACTCTTGCATTTTATTTCACATACAAAACAAGTATGAAATAGCACTCTAGTCAGAGGATTTGTGCTTAGATTTATGAACAAAATAAAGTGATTTAGTAAGTTGATCTACGTTCCTCTAATAAAAATTTGTGCAAGTTTAATAATATCAAGTAGCAGTTTAGAGACAAAGAAGAGCTATCTGATGTGAGTATTGAGAAGTGACAGGAAGGAAGAAATTAGATCAAGGAGGATAGTTAATTATATCATTCTAGAGATATTTAATGAAAATTTAAATTAGCCCTACACATTTGGCCCCTAAAGTCATATATATATATATATATATATATATATATATATATATATATATATGCCCTTCTAGAAAGTGTATGATGCAAGAGATTATGTATTCATCAGTTCTTCTCTCTACTTTAGTGAGATAAACTACCAGTTCATCAGGGTATAAGTAATGCAAGAAATCTCTTTAAGAGGATAGCTGCAGAAACAAGAGGCTAGTTAATCTAAGGCGAGAGAAGTGACCCCATATAGAAGAGCCATGAATAGAAAGGGAGAAAAGAGGTCTAGATCTGTATGGTGGTGGACATTGCAAGCAGTTCTTACCTAGTGCTCTGTGTTCTGATTTGAGTCTTGTACTAGCATGTCATGTCATTCAGAGTAAGAAATAAAAATAAAATTCTAAGCTCCCAACTGACGGAATGGGCCCTTTCTTGACCAAAAGAATGCCAGATAAACCTTGGAAGCTGAGTATACAACCATAACAGGATGGGAGATCAGACATGCCTTGTTATACCCCTCTCCTTTGCTACCACTCATTAGACTTTCTTCCTTTAGGGCTAAACAGAAACCAGCCATTTCAAATGACTATTAGTTTATCTTCCCAGGTACAGAACAAAAATAAGATGAGATTAAATATTCCTTTACCTATCCCTAATACTTCGGCTTCCTCTATTCCCTTTTCCATCAGATTTTTACCTTATCTTATGTAAAATGTAAATTTACTGGGCACTAACTGAAGTCTCACAAGTATGTAATTATTTCTCTCACTGCCACCCTGCCTTTTATTTAAAAATGCATAAATACTAAAGTTCATGAGAACCTCTTTGGAAAACACAGCTATTTTTTCAGGTGTGCCCTCAAGCTGGCTCAATAAGACTCAATAATTTGCAGCTTATTCCTTGATCACTCATTTTGGTTGTTATTTTGGTAACCACAAAGGGATCTCAGTGAAGATATTAGCCCCTGTGACCTGCAGTGATTCTCCTGTTGGTGCCAGCAAGAGATTTTCTCTGAGAAACTGTGGAAATTTTTAAGGCTCAAAAGCTACTCTCTGCTGAGGTTCTCTGGTTTCCCAAAATTTTCTTTTTTTTTAATTATTATTATACTTTAAGTTTTAGGGTACATGTGCACAATGTGCAGGTTAGTTACATATGTATACATGTGCCATGCTGGTGTGCTGCACCCATTAACTCGTCATTTAGCATTAGGTAAATCTCCTAATGCTATCCCTCCCCACTCCCCCCACCCCACAACAGTCCCCAGAGTGTGATGTACCCCTTCCTGTGTCCATGTGTTCTCATTGTTCAATTCCCATCTATGAGTGAGAACATGCGGTGTTTAGTTTTTTGTCCTTGTGATAGTTTACTGGGAATGATGATTTCCAATTTCATCCATGTCCTTACAAAGGACATGAACTCATCCTTTTTTATGGCTGCATAGTATTCCATGGTGTATATGTGCCACATTTTCTTAATCCAGTCTATCATTGTTGGACATTTGGGTTGGTTCCAAGTCTTTGCTATTCTGAATAGTACCACAATAAACATACGTGTGCATGTGTCTTTATAGCAGCATGATTTATAGTCCTTTGGGTATATACCCAGTAATGGGATGGCTGGGTCAAATGGTATTTCTAGTTCTAGATCCCTGAGGAATCGCCACACTGACTTCCACAATGGTTGAACTAGTTTACAGTTCCTATTTCTCCACATCCTCTCCAGCACCTGTTGTTTCCTGACTTTTTAATGATTGCCATTCTAACTGGTGTGAGATTCTACCTCATTGTGGTTTTGATTTGCATTTCTCTGATGGCCAGTGATGATGAACATTTTTTCATGTGTCTTTTGGCTGCATAAATGTCTTCTTTTGAGAAGTGTCTGTTCATATCCTTTGCCCACTTGTTGATGGGGTTGTTTGTTTTTTTCTTGTAAATTTGTTTGAGTTCATTGTAGATTCTGGATATTAGCCCTTTGTCAGATGAGTAGGTTGCAAAAATTTTCTCCTATTTTGTAGGTTGCCTGTTCACTCTGATGGTAGTTTCTTTTGCTGTGCAGAAGCTCTTGAGTTTATTTAGATCCCATTTGTCAATTTTGGCTTTTGTTGCCATTGCTTTTGGTGTTTTAGACATGAAGTCCTTGCCCATGCCTATGTCCTGAATGGTAATGCCTAGGTTTTCTTCTAGGGTTTTTATGGTTTTAGGTCTAACGTTTAAGTCTTTAATCCATCTTGAATTAATTTTTGTATAAGGTGTAAGGAAGGGATCCAGTTTCAGCTTTCTACATATGGCTAGGCAGTTTTCCCAGCACCATTTATTAAATAGGGAATCCTTTCTGCATTGCTTGTTTTTCTCAGGTTTGTCAAAGGTCAGATAGTTGTAGATATAATTTTCAATTTGAGATACAAGGTTTATTTTGCCAGGAAACTCCTCTAAAAAAAGGAGTTTGCTCACTTTTGATCAAGAAAGCATGTTTTCTCTATATTCAATGATTGAGAGCAGTCTTCAGTTTGGGCCCCATCTCCAGGTAAAGAGCTGGTTTAGGGTTTCATCTTGGGATTTGGCAGCGGAAGTTCTAAGTTTATTGCCAGGTAGCTATAACCTCTCCTTATGCTCAGTGATCTAAACAATATGTACGTTGTGTAGTCACTTTTTCTGTTTTAGGTTTCAGTCTATCTTCTGTAAGATTTAACCAACTCTTGGCCCCCTTTAATGTCAACCTAAACTCCCATAGCTGAAGAGTCAAGTTTCAATTATAGAAACAATGGCTAGTTAACAGAAGTCAATGTTTACCCCAAAAATATATTTTTTGACATATTTTAAAGTGGCCCTGCCATACCTTCCTTAGTCCAGATCTAGGAAGCGTTAGCTAAGGGTCTTCATTCTGAAGACTCTCATGTATACACATTTAATATATTTAAATGCTTTTTCTCCTATTAATCAATCTGCCTCATGTCAGTGATTATTCAGTGAATCTTTAGGGGGCCAATAGCCTATGGCCATCATAGTATCATGCAGCAAGCAGGGTAACACAAGTAAAGAGAATTCAGGAATCTGACAACCTTGCAAAAGAATAAGACCTTCTTACTGGTCAGGCTCCCAGCCTCTCTCGCTTTACACTCTAGTTGAACAGATGATAAAAATCACTGTTTGTTTTCTCTATAATGATTAATGAGAAGAAAGGATTTGTATGACTAATCCTGGGTTTTAGTGACTCTGGTGTATTTTTGGTACTTCGTGGTATAAATATTGATATCATTTCACCCCTTTCCTCTCAGAAGGAGTTTTCTTTTGGGTTGTGATTTTCCTTTTTCTTTGTCTTTCTGTATCATTTTGTCATAAAGAGAGGTACCATAGAGTAGAAAATGGGCCTAGAACACTTTTAAGCCTGCTGTTCAAACTGGCCCTGAAGACATGTCAGTTTTGCGGTTTTGATGAAACTGGTATCTGTTAAAACAATTTTGCTGTGGGTCTCTGAAATAAAAACCAGATGACGTTTCCCTCTTATCTTGTTTTATGTCCTTGAGTGTTTGACCTGTGACTAAGTGGGGGTATTCTCTTAGTCTCCACCATTGGAGGATATGATTTTTGAGGTCACATTAGGTAGCCAGTCTGAAAATATTGGGAGTCTGAGACACATAATATTTTAAGCTGCCCACTATTCATTCCAAAGGTGTTAAGCTCTTTAGGGAGTGGTCTTAAAATGTCCCATCCCTATGGGGCTTTTTTCATCTTTTGCTATCTTAAGTATATTTCCGAGAGTAAATTTTGGAGGATCATGAGGATTGTCTCATTTAAATCCTCTCCAGGAATATATGGTAGAAATCTGGAAAATTACCACCTGGGCTTTACATAAAGAGGTTTTTGAATTGAATGGCTATTGGATCTAAGTACACCATTGAAAATAAAAAAAATAGAGATTAAAAAAATAAAACAATTGATGAATATGTTAAATTTTTAAAAGGACACATAATAGTGTTATGGCTAGCCTTCAAAACTTTCTTGACTAAATTAAAGTACAAAATCTGACCTAAAACAAGGTAAAAACCCTTGTAAATAAAAACTGCCCACCCTCAATTTCACATGAAATTAACATCAGAGGAAATTTCAGTTTGTAGTCTTGTAGGTAAAATCCCTGATTAGGAAATCAGTCCTTTTGGTTTAATATTTATGTGACTTTTGCCATTTATTGATCCTTTTGCCTTCCATGGACAAATTTTGAATTGTTTTTTATCTCTAGGAGCAAATGGACTTTTTGGTCTTCATGTGTAAATGACTAGCTGAGAAGCTGAGATTCTAGGGAATGTGGCCAGATAGAAATGTGAGTTGTACCTGACTTTTAGCTACTTTTTAAAATTTGAGCTGTCTTTGTGGGTGATTCTGGATCTTGTGAGGATTGTTCTGCACCTATCTGGAGTTGCCTCATGAATCCTTGGTTAAGTCCTAATGTTAAAATAGATAGTTAGGCAGATATGAGCGGGGTAGGAGAGGGCCCTCCCCCAGGAATGTCAGGCAACCATCAGGAGATGGTCACGCAGTTGTTAACCTTTTTTCTTAAAATAATAATTGGTTGCAATCAGCACCAGGGAAAGGCAGTCTCCCAACAGTTAGAAAACACCTGAGGCTTCTGATCAGCAGCTTCCTGATAAGATATCAGGAGTTGGGCAAATGGGCTTAAGCATGCACACAAAGGGGCAAAACGACAGTTTAACTGGTATATGACCTTCCCCTAGGACCACTCAACTGGTAAGAGAAAAAATACTTCAAATGAGCATGCATACAACTTCAGTAAACACACTGTGCACGTGGCTCCTCCCGAGTGCTGGCAGACCAATGCACAAGGGAACAGCTTGTCCTGAGAATAAATCAAGGGAGGGGCCATGCAAACCCCAAACCATGCCAATGTATAAACCCCCAAGTAAAGTACCAAACAGTGCACTTGGATCTCTCAAGTAACCTTTTTGGCCCTCTTACAAGTGTACTTTACTTCATATTATTCCTGCTCTAACAGTTTTAATGAACTTTCACTCTAGCACTAAAATTTGCCTCAGTCTCTCATTCTGCCTTATGTTTCTCATATGAATTCTTTTCTGAGGAGGCAAGAATCAAGTTGCTGCAGACCCATACAGATTGACCACTGCGAACATAATTTTGTGCCGTGACTCGGATAAGTTCCCTAGTGGTAAGATACCTCTATGCCTTGCCTTCTTTGGCTGGAGTGATTCAACCCTGTATCTGTTTTCCTTCTCTTCCGCTTTCCTGCTTACTAACCAAACCTTAGAATTATTCCTCTTGACCACAGTGGCTCTACATCCCTTGGCTGTTCTCTCAGCTCACCCTAATGGGTGGCTCATGGCGGTGAGAAGGACCTTGGAATCCACATCAAGTAGACCTGAAACACTAATAGCCTTCCTGGAGGCTCACAAGAGAGGCTTGCTTTTTTTTTTTTTTTTTTTTTTTGAGTTAGCACCCCTTTTGGAGCAGGAAAAATTGTTCCTTTGCCATTTGTAAGCCTAAGCCCAAAGCCTTCTGGAAGTTCCTCCTTCATGTTAAGAGGGCAAATAAACATTGCCCTCTCGAACTCAAGGGCTGCTGTTTTTGCAAGCATTTGAAGGCTTTCCATGAGTATCTATCTCACTTCCTCACACTTCGTCCTGTAGTAAAGGAATTATCTCATCTGATTAAGCATTTCTGCATGTTATCCAGCGAGGATGAGGAACCCCAAATACAATTTTTTTTTCATTACTCAAGTCACTTACACATCCTTCTCAATATGCGTTAAGACCTTCAAGGTCATATTCGAAGGGAGAAAAGTCCAGCATCTTGTGGCAGGTAGCTGAAAAACAGGCTTCTCATCTACTTAAAGAATATGGGAAGTGGGATTATAAGAAAAGAGATAATAATTTTGTTGCTAGAATGCTCTGAGAGTCGCTATAAGGTCATGGAAACAAAGATATAGATGGGCCCAAGGCCTCAGGTGCAAGAGACAAAAATATGAATAGGACACAGATTAAAGCTGGTCCCAGGCTACAGGCACAGAACAGATTGCCGTTAGAAAAGAGATGAAAGCAAGGTAGGGGTACCCAGTAAGGATAGTTTATTCTGGAACCCCAAGAAGAAATAAGGGGTCCCTGCTTACTCCAGTATCCCTTCTGTTCTCCACTGGGTAATTGGGATTAGGTTAAGGGTACCCAGTATGACCAGTTTATTTTGGAACTCTAAGGACTAATAGTAGATGCCCTCTTCAGGAAATAATAATAGGGAAATGAGAGGGGATGTCTTCTTTTTTTCTCCTTTGCCTTCTCTGTCCTCTCTTTGCAGATGGTTAATCATGTCTCCATACCATAAGACATGCCCTTTGGATACATCCTCAAAAACTGGGAAAAGTTTGACCCTCAAACCGTAAAAGAGAAAAGGCTAATATATTTCTGTAACACAGCTTGGGTTGAATCCAATATCTGGGACCAGAAATCTTGGCTGGAAAATGGAAACATAATTTTAATATGATCTGTTAACTACATTTATTTTGCTGCCAGCAGGGAAAATGGCTGTAAATACCCTATGTACAGGCCCTCATGGACCTAAGAAAGAATCCTGACCTATGTCATACTTGTAAAATGGATCCAGTGATAATAGCTGTGGCAGCCCCCTATATTTGGTTCAGAAGACCTCATGATTGGGTTTACCCAGGGCTCAACCCTGAAGGAACCAAGGGCGGAGCTTAGATTAAACTTCACTGCCCCTTCTACCCCATTATATCTAAGTCTGTCAGTCCCGGAGCCTTCCCCTCCCTACCCAGGGCCATCCTCTGAACACCACTCCCTTAAGCTATGCCCCTTTTGAGAGGTTAGTGGCCTTAGTGGATCCACTATAGTCCATATTCCATTTACTATGCAAGACCTGAACCAAATTAAAATGAAACTAGGGAAGTTTATGGAGGACCCTGACAAATACACTGAAGGGTTTTATAAACTGGGCCTAACATTTGAACTCACTTTGAGGGGTCTCTCAGTAATACTAGGGAAAACCCTGTCTAAGGGAGAATGTGACTATATTACAGAGGCTGTCCAACAATTTGAAAATGTAATGCATATGACTGATCCTGACTGATCCTTGTGGCTACCTGTAGGAGCCACTGCAGTTCCCCAGGTTGATCCCAACTGGGATTACAATACCCAAGGGGGTATATGGGCAAGGGACCACATATTTCTTTCTATGGTAGAAGTAATGAAAGCTTAGCAGAACAAAGCCCTTGAACTATAATAAATTGGCCTTTATAGATCAAGGCCCTTCTTAAAAACCCCACCACTTTCCAAGAGAGGCTACAAGAGGCCCTAGTGAAACATAACAACCCAGACTCACTCAGAAACACCAGAAAGGCAATTGGTTCTAAAGAACCGTTTCCTAACTCAGGCAACTCCAGATAGTTGGAGGAAACTCCAGATATTTGGAAGAAACTCCAAAAATGAACACTGCCCCCCAACACCCTGACATCCTCAAAATAGCTTCCTCAGTCTTTTATAACTGCGACCAGAAAGAAGAGAAAGGGCTCAGTAAAAGGAGAGGTGGAAGGAAAAGGAGCAGCTCCAACTATTAGCTGCTCTACAAGTTCACTAGCACCCTCCAGATTGCTCTCAGAATACCCTCTCAGGTAATTGTTATTGATGTGGGAAACCAGGCCACTGGAAGGGGGGCCCCTTGGACAAAATCGCAATCCCTGACAGCCTTGAGCTGAAGGGGCCCTATGGTCCGGCCAGCTCCCAGATCAAGTATCACTATTGAAGGGATGGAGTCAAGGGCTGCTTTGGACGTGGCAGGTAGGACTATAAATTTTCCTTTGGACATGAAAGTGGCCTGTTCAGTGCTTACCTTTTTGCTCGGGCAATTACCCTCCAAATCCTGCCAGGTGATGGAAATAAATGGGGTGCTTATAACCCGAAGGTTTACTCCCCCTCTGTGCTGCCTACAGGGGGAAATTGTCTTTTCTCACTCATTTTTGGTGATGTTAGAATATCATATGCCCCTTTTTGGTAGAGATATTTTGTTTAAACTAGGGGTTCAGTTAACCTTTCTTCCAGGGCCAATACCTCCTTTTCCAAATATGATCGTATGCCTCAAGGAAACTACACACCAGGATAAACTTCCCACATACCTTTTCATTAATCCAGAGGTCTGGACCTCAGTAATACCACAAAAAGTCATAACGGCAATGCCTATATTAATTTAGCTCAAGTATGCTTCTAGTTATCCTTGTAGAAGGAAGTTTCCTCTTTGGCCAGAGGTCAAAAGGGGACTTCGGCCTTTGATTTAAAAATTTCGAAAGCATGGGTTATTAATATCCTGTATCTCCCCCGAAAACACTCCCATTTTACCTGTTAAAGAAAGCAATGGAAAATACAGGCTAGTCCAGGACCTGCAAATTATAAATGAGGCAGTTTTCCAATATACCAAATGGTCTCTAACTCAAAAGTAATTCTAGGAGAAGTATCTCTAGATGCTCAGTGGTTTTCAGTTTTAGACATCAAAGATGCTTTCTTTTGTATCCCCCTAGACTCATCCTCCCAACTTCTATTTCCATTTGAGTGGGAGAATTAAAAAGGAAGGATTCAACAGCTCACCTGAACAGTGCTTCCACATGATTCCAGTAAAAGTCCCCATTTGTTTGGGTAAGGCTTGGCTATAGAGTCACCAACTCTTGAGAAGGGAGGATGTCTCCTACAGTACATGGATGACGTGTTAATCTGCTCCCCAACAAGAGAGCTGGAATCCAATCTGTAGTCCAGACACTCAGTTTCCTCACAGACAGAGGGTACAAGTTATCCAAGGCCAAGGCACAACTACTAAGACAAGAGGTCCAATACCTGGAGATAATCTTGACCCCTGATAACAAAAGCTCTCTCCAGAATGGATACAGGCCATCCTTAGAATACCTATCCCAACCACCCAAAAGCTACTTCAGTCTTTTCTGTGGATTGCAGGATATTGCAGACTTTGAATATGGGGATATGGTGGGATTGCTAAGTCTTCATATCAGGCTCTAAAAGAAGGGATAAATAGGGACTCACTTCTCTGGGAAAATGATCAGGAGCAAGCCTTTAGGCGGCAAAAAACTGCCCTCTCACAAGCCCCAGCCCTTGGGCTACCCATACTAACGTAACCATTTTAGCTTCTCATCACTGAAAGGAAAGATGTAGCCCTAAAAGTTCTACCTTACACAATGAGGCCAATTAAACATCCTGTAGGTTACTTTTCAAAGAACCTAGACCCAGTATCACAAGGGTGGCCACATTGCCTCAAGGTAGTGGCTGCAGCAGCTTTCCTCATCTAGGAGCCCTCAAAAGCAGCATGAGGCAGTCAGTTTGACTCCTGACATCTCACCGAATAGACCCCTTATTGGACATAAAAAAACCACAATGTCCCACTGACAACAGACTGCTAAACTGCCAAGTCTTGTTAGAAAATCCACATTTAACAGTGGAGTGGGGTTCCACCTTTAACTCAGCCTCCTTACTGCCACTACCAGGAGTGGATAACTGAACACATTCATGTTGTGAGATACTTAACCAAATTTATGCCAGCCATAAAGACTTTAAAAATCAGCCCCTAGATAATCTAAATAAAATATGGTTTTCTGATGGTAGTAGCTTTGTCAGGAATGGAACTATATATGCAGGGAATGCTATAGTGTCCCTTCACCAAGTTATAAAGGCTAAAGCCCTGTTTCCAGGGACCTCAGCACAACTGTAGTCCTCAAAAATCATTGAAGGGTAGATATGTTAATGGCAGAACAGGAAGAAATCTGTTTAGTCTCAGATGGAAAATGTTGCTTTTGGGTAAATCAATTAGGAAAAGTACAAAACAACATCAGCCAACTCCTGAATCGAACCTCCAGTTTATAAGAACAAGCCTCTCAGGGTTGGTTAGATTGATAAGAAATGTGGAAATGGTTCTCCTGAGTTCTTCTCTTTTTGGGCCCACTTGTTAATCTTATACTTTTGCTCCTTTTGGTCTATGTCTTCTAAATATAATAGCCTGATTTGTCTTCTCTCACCTTCAGACCATCAAGCTCTAGATAATCCTCAGTGGGGGATATCATCATCGCAATATTCAAAAGTCACCCTTCTACAGATGACTTCTAGACTGCCCATCACTGGGGCATAACAGAGGCAAAATTCTGCCCCTGTCTTCCTTGGAATTGGCTGAATACCACTTTCACCAACCCATGGAGCTACCCTGCCCTGACAGCTAGCAAAAGGCCAAAACCCATGGAACAACCAACACCACCCCTCTGTCAGCAGGAAGTAGTTACAGAAGACTTACCTTTGTCTATTTTCCCAAAGAATTGGGTCTTAGACTCTTAAAGGGAGAAATGTTAGAGTAGATAATTAGGCAGACATGAGCAGGGCAGGAGAGCCCCTGACCCAAGGAATGTCAGGCAACCATCAGGTGATGGTCGGGGGTTGTTAAACAGTCTTTCTAATAGAATAATTAGTTGCAGCCAGTGCCAGGGAAAGCCAGTCTTCAAATAGATAGAAAACACCTGAAGCTGGTGTTTAGCCACTTCCTGATAAGATCTCAAGATGTGGGCGAGTAGACTCAAGCATACACTCTAAGAGGCAAAATGGCAGAGTTTAATTGGTATATGACCTTCTCCTAGGACCACTCGATGGGTAAGGAAAAAAAAACACCTCAAACTCAAAAGAGCATGTGTACAATTTCAGTAAACACACAGTGCCTGTGACTGATCCCACATGCTGGCAGGCCACTGTGCATGGGGACAGCCTGCCTCAAGGAAAAATCAAGACAGAAGAGATGCAAACCTCAGAACAATGCCAATGTATAAAAACACCAAGTCAAAGACTAAATGGCACACTCGGATCTCTCAAGTCACCTGCTTGGACCTCTTCTATGTGTACTTGACTTCTTTTAGTTTCTGCTCTAATACTTTTTAATAAACTTTCACTTCTGCTCTAAAACTTTCCTTGGCTTCTGACTCTGCCTTATACCCCTTGAATTAATTATTTCCTCTGAGGAGGCAAGAATTGAGTTGCTACAGACTTATATGAATTTGCCACTGCTAACACTAACCTTGGTTAAGGTTTATTGGTTTCACTTAGAAGGTTACTTTTGGTAAGGAAGTTTAAAGGCCAGACATATCAGCTGTTTGTCCCAGCTAAAATCTTGTAATAAGAAATTGGAAAGGATTTTTTCTTTCAAAAAAACTCTATGGTTAGAAGTTAGCTTAACTAAAAGCTGATATTCAAGCTATAACTATATTTTTAAAGGCCTTGATGCTTGTTCTCTTTTTGCATCCTGTTTTGGGAATGTTTTCCTCAGTCAACTGAATCCTGTTTGTTTCTCCAATTGCTCTCTATCAGTCCCTGTTTCCTCTGAATACCACAAAACAAACATAAAAAAAGAATTTTTGACAACCTGGAATCCCTTGGAGAAAAGAGAAAGAGCACCACAGACTCCTCCTTTTGTGAGGAACCTTGTTGTTTTCTAATGAAATCCCAGGAGTTGTAAACAGACAGATTCCACTTAGGTCTAAAACTCTGCTGACTTTTGTATTGCATTACCTGATCTCTTTGGCTTTTGCGGGGTGCCAGATATTAGTTCCTACTGTAAGAGGACTTGACTTTGGTGTGTCTAATGGCAGGTGAGTCAGCTGAGAGCAACAGGGTTGGGGTGGCTAAGGACAATTTACAGGAAATGGTTATTACTACAGGGGGTTGCTCATTTCTTTTCATATTTAGATACGAAAAGTATGGTTTGAACCCTAAAAACTGCATGCTTTATTGGCTTTGTTGCTTAGAGGGCTCTATCCTAAAGCCCACAATCTAATTAAGAAATAAGCTAAGGTGAAAAGACAACCTATCAAACTAAATCAGTCTTTGAAACGTGTTTGAAAGAAATTTATATATTCAAAAGAAATCTCCATTTTTAAATGCATCACTATCTCTGCCCCTAAAGCACTAGAAATATTAACTACAGGAAAGATAATGGCATGAAATTTACATAACAAACCTTGCCTTTGTGTAGTTTTGAATTCTGTCTCTTTGTGATGTACATTTTCTGCTTTATTTAAGAGTTATGTGTTTGGAGATGTAAATTTCAATTTGCCTAGCTACCAATTGTTTAGGGCATGAAATGAGTAATCAAAAGATTTATAGCCTAAAGTGGAGAGAAACTTTCTGAAACCTGGCAAATAAAAAATCTTACAAAATTCATAAAATCTGCTTATATGTGTCTATATGTCTATATGTTTATATGTGTCATGTTCATCTGATGTTTCACTAACAAATTATAGAAAATAGTTCTAATCAATTGTCTTAAAGAAAAATAAGCACTTAATCCAATACTTTATTAGGAAAATAGATGCTAGCTCAAATGCCTTTTAGTTTATGTGACTTTAGTAATCTTTGGTAAATAAAACCAGTTTCAAAATTCTCTTTGGTAATTTAAAATCTTAGTCATATTGTCTTAAATTAAGTAATCCTAGGTTTTTCACTCGCTGGGAACTCAGACTATTAAGAGTTAGAACAGTAGTTAATATACGTAATTAAAACTACTATTTATAAGAGAAAAAATTTCTACATACAGAGTGTATAAAGAAAGATGCATTTCTAGTAAAGATTATAAAAAACAAGAGCTTGTGGTTTTTACAAAAGGTAAAGTGATTTTGACAAGTTTAGAGACTATTTAAAGTTGGCTTCAAAATGAAAGAAATATGATATAGATAAAACTAAATGGATACAAACAGAAAGAATAAAATGGTAGGAAATAGAAACTTTTTATTCCTGGGTAGGCATGTTTTCACCTATGGTATGGAACTGCAGCTGGGATCCATTCGGTTACTAAAAGTAAAAGACACCAGTGGAATTTATTTATTTTTTAGTAAGAAACAGCATTTTATTTAAAATGTTATTAGTAGATTTCTTAAAGATGTAAATAATTGAAGTAAATTTAGTTAATATTACTTGTATTAATTTACATTTTGTCCTCAATCATGATACCTATTTTAGATGGGTATGCAATTCCCATTGGACAGGGGTTTTAACTCAATATTTTAAACATAATATCCTTTGGCTTATCAATTCTATGAAGATATTGATAAATGGGATGAAAATCTGTTATTGCTTTGTAAGTAATTTGCATTTTATGCTTTAATGATTTTAAATTATTTTCTTTATATTGGTGTTACACTTTTTATTTATTATGATGCTTTCAGACATGTACATTTCTCGTGCTTTGTCGGTTGACATGAGCATGTATTTTATTAGTTATTTAAAATCTTTAAACACCTCTTATTTTCAGCTATTTTGTCTCTCCCACTTATTTAAATTTTTTATTAAAAATTCCATAAGACATAGCTCCTTTATTTTATTTTCAATTTACTTTGTCCTCCATTTTAATTTGCCACTCATTTTTCTCCCTGTTGTGACATTTATGTATTTATTGTACCTCATTTTTTCACTCATATTTTAGTTCATACTTTTCCTTTGCTTATATTTCTCTAATTTTTAAAAACATTTTTACAACAAAAATCACAGAATACCAGTGGAATTCAGAGAGAAAAATCCAACACCTGGGAAATTGGTCCATTAGATGCATAAAAAATGAAAATAAGGAAAAGCAAAATATTAAATTCCTCGGTTATTGTTATCTATAATAGCTAAAATTAAAATAAAAGAGTGCTGTGTTGGGCCTGAATTAACAAAGCTCAGAAGTGAGTCTGTCTGATTGCAAATTACTAGCCCCAAAGCTACCCACAAAGAGGAATATTATGCCAGGGCAACAAAAATGTACCCCTGAGACCTGTGCTTACCAAGAAGGTAGCCAACATGAGGGAATAACAAAACCAAATAACTTTTGAAACCAGAGGAAGGAATTTTTTTCATTTTTAGATCAGTATCATCAGCTTCCTGAGGAATCTGTACTAAAATGGATTGCAGAAGTAAATTATTTGTAAGTAGTGTATTTGGTTTTAAATGGCGCAGAGTGGATAAAATAGGTTTGGTTTGATGCAGGAAACACAGCTCACTACTAAACAAATCACAGGCTAATATGTAATCCAGACACAAAGACGGGCATTTCTAAGAAGACAGCCAGCCTAGTGAACTGGATAGAAGCCATTATAAGATCAATTTACCTTGCAGATGAGGACTGTCCAACTCCACCTATAAATGCCAAGTGGAACACCCCAGATAAAACATCTAATATGCTTCATATGTAAGCCATGGGGGACTGAAATTATGATGACATAAATATTCACCCACTGAATATGGTCATTAACTTGGTGATGAGAAATGCTTTAATTAAGAGGGCCCCTTCCACCTGGGCACCCAATGTGATACTACTATTTTTCTCAAATAACCATTAATATAAAGTCTTATCAAACTTGCTGTCACAGATTTTTCATATGGGTCTTGCAAATACTAATAAAACATTTGGTTATTTAACAAGAGCATGGAGAAAGGCAAAAGGGAGAGCCAAAGGACTCTCCTGAATGTGATAGCAGAGTAAAAGTTTCCACTGACCATCCTCCCTACAATAGGATCAATTTTAAAACTACCTAAACAGGAAAAAAACAATAAACAAAAAACACCTTCATAAGAATCAAAAATTAGGTGAGCTTTCATAGTACCTGTCTTTAACTTAATATCACAGAAAGAGGCACTGAAGAGAGTGAAAAGAAAAAAAAATCTTGAATTGCCAACAAATCCCCTCTCATGACCAGCAGTGGTGGCATGGTGATAAGAATGTCTGTGGGTGCTAGGGAAGAAAGAGCACAGCAGTTTTGAGGCATTGAAATCAGCGCTTTCCTAATAGAGCACCAGGTAAAAGTGGACCGAACTCAGCCAATGTCCATGCATGAAGGAAGTACTTAAACCAACCCTAGCCAGAGGGGAATCACCATTCTCAGCAGTCAGAACTTAAGTTTCTGCAAGCCTTACCACTGAGGGCTAAAGGGCTCTGAGTCTAAGTAAAATTTAAGGAAAATATAGGTCACCAGAACTGCAAATCTTAGGCAAGTCCTAGTGCTGAAGTGAGACCTGTCACAGTGTACTGGGGGTCAGGTGATCTACTGAGACTCCAGCTGTGTTGGCTAAGTGAATGCTGGCATCGCCCTCCCCCTAACCCCAGGATGCACAGCTCACAGCTCCAAAAGAGACCCCTTTCTTTCACTTGAGGAGAGGGGAGGAAAGGGAAAAGTAGGAAGAATTTTATCTCAAGTCTTGAATACCAGCTCAGCCACAGCAAAATAGGCCATTGGTTAGAGTCACGAGGCCCCCATTCAAGGCCCTAGCTCCTGTATGATAACATCGCTAGACACACCCTACCCTGAAAGGGAACCCACTACCCTGAAGAAAGGGACCAAGATCTGACAGTGTGTATCATCTGCTAACTGAAGAACCCTTGTGCCATGAATAACCAGCAGTAATACCCAGGTAATACACCAAAGGCCTTGGGTGAGTTTCTGGTACTTGATGGATTCAGGTGAGATTAATAATATTTCCAGCCATGCTGACTGTGAGGTGAAACTACATCTGCTGGGAAAAACTGAGGGAAAAGTAAACAGGAGTTTGTCTTGCACTGTAGGTACAGGTGGAGCCACAG
This sequence comes from Homo sapiens, assembly GCF_000001405.40. NCBI lineage: Eukaryota > Metazoa > Chordata > Mammalia > Primates > Hominidae > Homo > Homo sapiens. The sequence goes on from NC_000023.11 coordinate 79,732,228, forward strand.
GAAGATAGATCACCAAAAAGGCTCTTAAGGTTCCTGATTCCAGGACTTGACATTTGGATGGCATTTCTGGACCTGCCTTGGCCCACAGCGAAGACACTGCTGTAAAGGGTGAGTGCCAGACCAGGCAGCATTCACCACAATCTGACTTCAGAGCCCTAGGTGTTTAAGGAAACATCGGTGGTAGTCTGGGAGTACTCCTCATGGTGTGTGGTGGTAATGACTATAAAGTGAGGCTCTTCTGCTTTTGGAGGGAAGAAAGAATAGTGAGAAGGACTGAATCCTGTAGTTTTAGTATAATATTTATATCTTTAATAAGATATAAATAGAAACAAAAAAGTTAAAAAGAGCATGGATAAAGTTAGTACATAGAGTTTTTATTAGTTTTCTGTTTGTTTATGCAAACAGTGTTAGTTCTTATAAAGTTAAAAAATGTGATATAAGACAGTATTTGCAACCCTCACGGTAACCTCAAAGCAAAAATCCCATGAGAGATACACACACAAAATAGTAAAAAACTAAATTATCTCACCAGAAAAAATCACCCACACTAAAAAGCAAACAGGAAGGAAATAAAGAAGAAAGAGACCACAAGCTAACAAGAAAACAAGTAGCAAAATGCTAGGCATAAGTTCATTACTTATCAAAAATAACACTGAATGTAAATGAATTGAACACTAATCAAAAGACATAGAGTGATGAAATGGATGAAGAAACAAGACACATTTATCTGTTGCCTACAAGAAACACACTTCACCTATAATAATGTATATAGACTAAAAATAAATCAATACAAAGAGATATTTCATCCTAAAGAAAAACAAAAAAGAGCAGAAGTACCTATACTTCTATCAGACAAAACAGATTTCAAGATAAAAACTATCAGAAGAGATAAGGAATGTCACTACATAATAATAAAGGGTCAATTTAGCAAAATAATATAATTTTAAATATGTATGCACTAACACTGGAGCACCTAGATATATAAAACAAATATTATTACAACTGAGAGAGATAGGCAACAATAAAATAATAGCTGGAAACTTCAACATCCCATTTTTAGCATTGGACAGATCTCTCAGACAGAAAATCAACAAAGAAACATTGGACTTAAACTGCACTATAGAGCAAGTGGAATCAATATATATTTACAGAAAATTTTATCCAACCGCTAAAGTATACACATTCTATCCCTTGGCATATGGATCATTCTAAAAATAGACCATATTTGAGGACACAAAATGAGTCTTAAAACTCAAAAACATTGAAATAGTATCAGGTATCTTCTCTGACTACAATGGAATAAAACTAGAAATTGAAAACAAAAGAAATTTTGGAATCTATAGGAATACATGGAAATTAAACAATATGCTCCTAAATGAGTGGTGGGTAAATAAAGAAATTAAGAAGGAAATTGAAAAAATTCTTGAAACAAATTATAATTAAAGTACAACATACCAAAACCTATGGGATACAGCAAAAGCAGTACTGAGAGAAAATGTTAAGGCTCTAAGTGCCAACATCAAAAAAAAAAAAAAGAAAAAAATTCAAATAAACATTCTGATGATGCATCTTAAGGAATTAGAAAAGCAAAAGCAATCCAAACCAAAAATTGGTGGAAGAGAATAAATAATAACAACACAAAAAATAAATAAAAATAAAGAAAACAATATAAAAGATCCATGAAATAAGAAGTTGTATTTTTATTAAGTTATACAATATTGACAAACCTTTAGCCAGACCAATTAAGAAAAAAAGAGAAGATAAAAATGATTAAAATCAGAAAAAAAATGAGACATTACAATTGATACTGCAGAAATTAAAAGGATTATTAGTGGCTACTATGAGCAAGTATATTCCAATAAATTGAAAAACCTAGAAGAAATGGACTAATTTCTAGACACATACAACTTACCAAGATTGAACTTGGAAGAAATTCAAAACATGAACAGACCAGTAACAAGTAATGAGATCAAAGCAATAATAAAATCTTTCCCAGTAAAGCAAAGCCCAGGACCTGATTTCCTCACTGCTGAATTCTACCAAATGTTTAAAGAAGAACTAGTACAAATTCCACTGAAACTAATCCAAAAAACAGAGGAGGAAATAAGTTCAAAATCATTCTATAAATCCAATATTTCTCTCATACCAAAACCAGACAAAGACACATCAATAAAATAAAACTACAGGCCAATATCTGTGATGAATACTGTTGCAAAAATTCTCAACAAAATAGTATCAAACAGAATTCAATAATACATTAGAAAAATCATTAATCGTGACCAAGTGGTATTTATCCCTGGGATGCAAGGATGATTCAATATATGCAAATTAATCAATGTGATACACTATATTGGTGGAATAAAGGATGAAAACCATACAATCATTTTAATCAATGCTGAGAAAGCATTTGGTAAAATTTAACATTCTTTCATTAAAAAAATCCCTCGAAAACTGGGTATAGAAGTAACATATCTCAACATAATAAAAGCCATATACAACAGACCCACAGCCAATATCATACTCAATGGGGAAAACAGAAAGCCTTTCCTTTAAGATCTAAAACATGACAAGAATGCCCACTTTCACTACTGTTACTCAACATAGTACTGGAAATCCTAGCTAGAGCAATCAGATAAGATGAAGAAATAAAGGCATCCAAACTGGAAATGAAAGAAGTAAAATCATTTTTCTTTCCAGATGATATAATCTTATATTTGAAAATAACTTAAAGACTCCACACAGACACACACAAAACCATTAGAACCAATGAACAAATTCTGCGAAGTTGCAGATAAAAAACAGCAAACAAAAATAAGTAGCGTTTTTATATGCCAACAGTGAACAACCAGAAAATGAAATAAAAAATTTAATCCCATTTACAATAGCCAGATGTAAAATTAAATACTGAGGAATTAACCAAAGAAGTGAAACATCCTTATACTAAAAACTGTAAAACATTGATGAAAGTAATTGAAAAGGACACCCAAAATTGAAAAATATTCTATCTTCATGGATTGGAAGAATCAATATTATTAAAATGTC